>NC_000012.12:99884370-100187400 GCF_000001405.40 Homo sapiens
TAACTTATGACCCAGTAATTCCACTCTTAGTTATTTGCCTAAAAGGAATGAGTATTTGTTTCACAAAAGCACCTGTACATGAATATTTACAGTAGCTTTATTCATAAATAAAAAATGCATATGTCCTTAAACTGGTGAATGGATGGAACAAAACTAATTGTGGCACATTCATACAACAGAATACCACTCTCCAGTAAAAATGAACTATTGATACACACAACAACATGGGTGAATCACAAATGCACTATGTAAAGTCAAAGATGACAGATGTAAAACACTATATACCATATAATTCCATTTATATGACATTCTGGAAAAAGCAAAAAAACAGGGACAGAGAAAAGATCAGAGGTTGCCAAGGATTAGAGCTAGGGAAAAGGCTGACTACAAAAGAGCAGACTGAAGGCATTTTCAGAGACAATGGAACCCTTTAGTATGTTCATTGTGATGGTGGTTACACGATTACATATTTGTCCAAACTCATAGACCTGTACACCAAAAACAGTAAATTTTATTGCATTTTAACGTTTTTAAATTTTAAAACAAATTTACCTATTTAAAAAAAAAAACAAAGACAGCAACAACTTAGGATCCCATATTACCATCACTATTTAATGTGATCTTAGACAAATCACTTAATATAGAGCTTTGGTTCCCCCAATTTTTAAAATGAAAAATATAGTATTTATATCTCATAGGTCTTTATAAAAAAGTTTTTTAAAGGTTTCAAGATCCTGCCTTTTCACATTCTATTTCTTCTGAAATGTTTCTTCCCATCCTCTCTTCCCTACTTTGCTTGGCTAAATGCTATTTGATTTTCAGGTCTCAGCTTAAACGTTATTTTTTCATAAAAGCTTCTCCTAACTCACATTTTAAATCAGGGCCTCAGCTATGCCTTTACTGCCCAGTGTACTCTTATTTCATAACACTTCTCATGTCCTTTTTTTTTTTTTTTTTTGAGACAGAGTCACCCAGGCTGGAGTGCAGTGGCCCGATCTTGGCTCACTGCAAGCTCTGCCTCCCGGGTTCCTGCCATTCTCCTGCTTCAGCCTCCCGAGTAGCTGGGACTATAGGCACCTGCTACCATGCCCAGCTAATTTTTTTGTGTATTTTTGGTAGAGACGGGGTTTCACCATGTTAGCCAGGATGGTCTCAATCTCCTGACCTCGTGATCCGCCCGCCTGGGCCTCCCAAAGTGCTGGGATTACAGGCTTGAGCCACCGCGCCCGGTCTTTTTTTTTATTTCAAGAGCTTAGGCGTACAAGTAGTTTTTGGTTACCTGGCTGAATTTTGTAGTGGTGAAGTCTGAAGTTTTAGTGTACCTGCCACCCGAGCAGTGTCCATTGTATCCAGTATGTAGTTTTTTTATCCCTTACCCCTCTTCTACTCTCCTTATTTCTGAGTCTTCAATGTTCATTATATCACTCTGTATGCCTTTGCACGCCCATAGCTTAGCTCCCACTTATAAGTGAGAACATATGGTATTTGGTTTTCCATTCCTGTGTTACTTCACTTAGAATAATGGCCCCCAGTTCCATCCAAGTTGCTACAATGGACATTATTTCATTCTTTATTTTATGGCTGAGTAGTATTCCATGGTGTATATATACCACATTTTCTGTATCCATTCATCAGCTGATGGACATTTAGGTTGGTTCCTTATCTTTTCAATTATGAATTGTTCTGTGATAAACATATGCAAGCACATGTATTTTTTTTATAGAGAGGTTGTACTAACTTACATTCCCACCAGCAGTGCACAAGCATTCCCTTTTCACCACATTCACGCCAACATCTTTGTTTTTTGATTCTTAAATAATGGCCATTCTGGCTTGGGTAAGTTGGTATCTCACTGCAGTTTTAATTTGCATTTCCCTGATGATTAGTGAGTACATCTATAGGTAAATAATTTTATTTAATGTCTGTCTCTTTCATGAAATGGTAAGCTCTGTGAGGGAAGAAATTGTTATCAGAATACAAGCAGTACAAAGTGTCTGAAACACTGGTGAATATTCTGTACATATTTTTAAACAAATGTGCAAAAACACAATGGCATTTCCTATTGTGTAATTAATTCTTTCTTAATATCTTTACCTTTCTCACTATTTATATGTATAGACACATGTATCTTAATGTTTTTATCTTCCTCACCCTGTATATATACACATACATATATATGTATGTATGTGTATATACTATGCATACCATCAACAAAGTTTCTTAGCAAATGTCCATCAAAAGATAACAAATAATAGATTATGCCTTGGTTGACATACCTGTTTACTAACTTTTCCTCATTTGTAGTCATTAACACTAATTGAACCTGACAAAAATAAGATGTGACAGACCTACTGTATATCCACAAGTCAAATTAACAAATTAGTTGAAGAATCAATACATCTACATATGAGTCTACTAACTGTTGGGCATACATCCAGACTTACATGCAGAAAAGCACTTAAGAACCAAACCTTTTTCCCTCTTATATAAGCTGTCAAAAATGTTACAGATGTGACATTTAAGAAACTCAGAGCATGACTTATAGATTACCTTATGCATAATGGTAAAAATTCCTCTAGAACAACCAGCAACATTAATAATTAGTTGGAACTCAATTACGGATACTTGCCAAAGCAAATCCCCAGAAAGCTATCTTGTATCTTTCAACCTGGCCTTGTAGAAATGATCTAATGTAGCATCCTACAGTGTAGGTACGTGGGGTATTAATATCCCACCCTCCTTGATGGGTCAGTAACTGAAACAGTGAAAGGCTCAATGAAGATCGCAGCACTAATAAACGATGGGACAGGTATTAATACTGCAATGCCGCACTGTCCAATATGGTAACCACTGAGCCACATGTAGCTACAGAGCACTTCAAACGTGGCTAATCCAAATCAAGAAGTGCTGTAAGTGTAAAATACACACCAGATTTCAATACTTGGTACAAGATAAAGAATGTAAAATTCTCATTATTTGTTTATACTGAATACATGTTGAAATGACTATGGGTTGGATTAAATAAAATCATTATTAAAATTAATATCATCTGTTTCTTTTCACGTTTCAAAGTGTAGTTACTACAGATTTTTAAATTATATATGTAGCTTGTATTATATTTCCAGCGGCATCATGATAGAGCACTCCTGGATCAGTATGGTTGAATAATAGAAGACATGTGGAGGCAAACATTTAGGTTTACTTCCCAGACTCTACCATATACACACAGAGTGACTTTGCAGAAGATTATTGTATATCACTAAGATGACTTTTCCCACATTTAAAATCAGAACATTAAATCTATGATACAGTACTAGTACGAGGTTAAATAATACATTAAAGGTCTAATAATGTATTCTACAATGAATAGCCACTTGATGTTAATTTCTCTTTTCCTCCTTTTTCCTAATCCACTTCCCTGTTAATTTAAGCTGCAGTTAAACTTCCATAGTGGACAGATTAGTCCCCATGCCTACTATTCCCAGTACCTCGGTCTAGGTTAACACAACCTCCATGACCAGAAAACCAGGTACAGAATGGTGGTCACTGAGTAGCCCAAAGTAGGTATGACACAAGTATGACCTGTCTGTAGTTTGGCATAGTCTAATACAATGGGCTCAAATAGTGAAAAACAGCATATCTGCTCCCTTCAGAATTCATCCAAGAAACAGAGACAGACTGGTTAATAACAAAAGGGTAATGGAAGCAGACGTAGAAAGAGACATAGAAGTAACAAGATGGAAAAGCCATTCATTTGTTCACTCCACAAATATTAATGACTGTCTATTTATTACATGCTATATGACCTGAGAGAGGAAGTAACAGGGGAATAATTCCCAGAGCTTTATAAGACCCAGACAACTTCCAGTTCCAGTCCAAATGTCTCTTTACAATAAATATTTTTTCTTTAGATGAATAGATGAAGGCTCTGCTCCTTGAAACTAAAATGACCTAACTAACGTAGCTTCACAAAGGAAGGCACAGAAAAGTGCCTTTTTGTTAGACACTCACACACACAAAGACAAAATATGTATTGCCCTAGGTAATAAATCAAACAAAAAGGGTTCTTCCTCAAAGTGGGCCATTCCTTTCCTAAAACCAGTAACAGACAGAACAGAAAACAAGTGGAGATAGCAAGGGCTACTGACCCTTAATATTCCTTTAGAAAGCCACTACCAGAAATACACTTTTAAGTGCCTTACCTGCACTGCATAGAAATATGTAGGCAAAGAGAAAAAAGATCGGCCAACTAAAACTACAGACTATAAGTACTTATTAAAGACTACTTTCACTAACATAAATGGGATTCACTACATCAGAGTCCCCTGATCACTTTTTGCAGGGCAGTCTGTGGGCCTCACTAAACTAATTTGCGATATTAAGGTAAGGAAAGAAGAATTTCCTCATTCTAAATGTATTATTGGACAGGCTTGAAGTCCAGGTCTTAAGTATGGTTACATAAGGGACAACAATAACTATTTGTTTCAAATTGTATCTCTTTCAATAAAACAATATCTCAGTGGTTTCAGCAGGGAGTACAAAATCTGATCTCTTAACCCTAAAATTCCAACCCTGGAAAAATGGCTCACCTTCGCCAAAACACACACACACACACACACACACACACACAACTAGAGACTGATTTTCCACACAAAATTTATGTACTTATTAAAAAGGAATTTACTTTATAATTATGTGCAAGAATTATCATGGTGAGAAGTGAATGTTGGTTTTAATCATTGCCAGTAGATCCTCCCATCAGCCACATAATCATATTCACTTTATGGAGGAAGCACTATTACTCCGTACCAAGCATCTTATATAATATAGCTCTTTGTTTTCATCCCTGTGACAAACCATGTGAGATGGCTGTGTGACCCTTGTTTTAAAAACAAGGAAACTGACTGCTGGAAAGGTAAGTAACATAATTATCCAAGATCTCCAACCTAACAAATGTCAAAGTATGGGAGCTGACCTTGGGCTTTTATGCTCTTGTCCACAATAATCCAGAGCACCCAGAACATTTATATCTCTAAGAAGTTAAGTTTAGAAAAATGCATCTTTTTTTGCATATATGTCACCAACTTCGGGTATTTCTTATTACAAGAGACCTTTTTGCTTAAAGATTCCAAATCAATCACCCATCATTTTTCTAACACTATAAATTCTAAATGCAAATGTCAACTAAGAAAGGTCTATGAACATTTTAAAAACTCATTTTCCCCAAATCCATATGAGTCTGAATGCTGAGAAATTCCACACTAAAGGTAGAATACTTAACAAAACACCAACATTTCCCTTCAGAAATAACAAAGGGAAATATAAGTTTGTGCTCACTTTTTCATAATGTCATGGCATGTTAAAAGATGAAAACCTAGTAACAAAGTCAATTAATAGAATCTACAATCTTTTTAAAATATTTTAGTAGCTTAAGAAGCATATTAAAACTAGAACCTAAATATTAGGCTGGAATCGTGGTACATCTTTAGCTCTTCCAGAATCATACTCACAGTGGGGCTCACACTGTATTTTAATAAGCTTCTAGGTGGGCCCATTCATCTAGCAGCTTAAAACCTCCCCAGGTGATTCCAATGTGAACTCCAGGCTGAGAACTGTCATAGTTGAAAACCACTGGACTGGCACATGAGAGCCTGATTTCTGCTGAATGTCCTTTCTTTGAGCTCTTCTCCCCCAGTCCTATGAAAAGCATGGTCGCTGATTAACTCAGAGTTAGGTGAAGAAAATCAAACTTGGAGAGATAATTATAATAGATACCGTGATGGTTAATTTTGTGTGTCAACTTGACTAGGCTATGGTGCCCAGTTGTTTGGTCAAACATAGCCTCCATGTTGCTGTGAGGGTATTTTTAAATGTAATTAACATTTAAATCAGTAGACTTTTAGTAAATTAGATTACCCTCCCTAATGTAGATGAGGCTCATACAATCAGTCAAAATCTTAAGAGCAAAGGCTAAGGTTTCCAGAAGAGGAAGGAATTCTGCTTCCCAAATGCAACACTGAAACTCTACCTGGCTTTCCAGCCTGCCTGGCATGTGCTGTAGATTTCAGACAGGACTGCAACATCAACTCTTTCCTGAATTTCCAGGCTCCCAGCTTGCCTTACAGATTGTGAACTTGCCAGCTCCCATAATCACATGAGCGTATTCCTTAAAATAAGTCTCTTTCTCACTCGCATTCATGGTGTGTGTGTGTGTGTGTGTGTGTGTGTGTGTGTGTGTGTGTGTGTGTGTGTGTATTCTCTTGTTTCAATTTCTCCAGGGGACCCTAATGCTAGATACCATTATTTAAACACAGACTATGTACTAGAAACCATGCTAAATTATTCACATACATTTTCTGAGTTAGCCTTTACACAACCCAATTAAACAGTTGAATAAGCAAGCTATAAAGAGAAGATGTGACCAGAGATAGGGAAGCTTCCTTTAGTGGCTGTGGAGAGCAAGCAGTACAGAAGTTAGCACTAGGTGAGCCAAGAAAAAGCCAAGGACAAAAGAAGATAAGGTGTTCATTGAAAAAAACAAAAGACAAAAGGGAAAGGGGAAACCTATAGATTTAAAAATACAGTGCCCACCATAGGAAACCATTCTTCTACTTTCTGCTTTTATTGCTTTGACTTTTATGGACATTACACTTAAGTGGAATCACACAACACGTAGTCTTGCATCTGACTCCTTTAAAGAAGCATAATGTTTTTGAAGTTTATTCATTTTGTAGCGTGCATCAATAGATCACTCCTAAAACTTCTTGAATATAGAAGTGGAATCATGTAGTAGTAGGTCTATGTTTAAACTTCAGGAAACTGTGAAAGCAGTTTTCCAAAGTGGTTGCACCATTTTATATTCTTACCAGCAATGAAGGTTCCACGTTCTCCATATCAATGCCAAAATTTATTATTGCTAACTTTTTAAATTATAAACAATTGAGAGTGTGTGTGTATGTGTGTGTGTGTTTGTGTGTGTGCAGTGTGTACTATATAGAGGTTGTTTATATCTCATTGTGATTTTTTTAAAATAGAGACAGAGTCTTGCTATGTTGCCCAGGCTGGTCTTGAACTCCTGGGCTCAAGCAATCCATCTGATTCTGACTCCCAAAATGCCAGGATAACAGGTGTGAGCCACCATGCCCGGCCCTCGTTGTGATTTTAATTTGCATTTGTCTAATGACTATTTATGTTGAGCATATTTTCATGTGTTTATTAGCCATTTGTAGATCTTCTTCAGTGAAATGTCTATTAGAATCTTTGACTATTTTAATAAACTTTGGATATTGGTACTTATTTTAATAAACCAACTGTAAAATATGTTTATGATAAAATTGTGGAAATTTAAACATTCAAAGGATACTTGATATTAAGGATTTATTAGGGTTGTTTTGGGTTTGATAATGCTATTGCAGTTATGCTTTTAGAAAAAAATCTTTACCTTTTAATGTGACACACTGAATAATTTATAGATGAAATAATGTGAGGTCTGTGATTTGCTATAAAATAATCCAGAGGAGGTAGGGGAATTTATATAAAAGATTGGCCATATGTTGACAACTGATAGTTCTTGGAGCTGAGAAAAGGATTCATGGGGACTCATAATACTATGTTTGAAATTTCCATAATAGGTTTTTTTGTTTGTTTGTTTGAGATGCAGTCTCGCTCTGTCACCCAGGCTGGAGTGCAGTGGCATGATCTCGGCTCACTGCAACCTCCGCCTCCCAGGTTCAAGCAATTCTCCTGCCTCAGCCTCCCAAGTAACTGGGACTACAGGTGTGTACCACCATGCCCGGCTAATTTTTTGTATTTTTAGTAGAGACGGGGTTTCACCGTGTTAGCCAGGATGGTCTTGATCTCCTGACCTCGTGATCTGCCCACCTCTGCCTCCCAAAGCGCTAGGATTACAGGCATGAGCCACCATGCCCAGCCCACAATAGGTTTTAAGAAATAAAAGCTGACACACCGAATGCATGCATTAACCTACATATACACTCTCTCAAAATCTACTAAATACACCGTAAAGGGATTTTTTAAGGCATAAGCAACAAGAAGAAAAGGAATGGGAATGAAGACAACAGCAACAAAACTTTGGAAGCTAGAAAGTATATGGATGAACATGAACCAACTTGAGAAACCTGAATCCCCAACCAGAAGTGGAAAAAGCCAAGAAAACAACCTGATTTACACAACAAAAATCTTCAAAGGGTTTAGGAATAGGTGGCATCAGGTACATCTCTGGAGATAAGTTTGAAGGTGGAACTGAACACCAAGGAATAACTGAAAGTAGATTTAAGAAAATGAACCTCCAGATATTTTACTACACTCTACACAGCCAACCAACCACCCCTCTCCTACTCCAGCAAATGACTTTGGCTTATTTTCTGCAGAGTCAAAGAGAGGTTCTCTGCGATGAAGAATCCAAGCTACGGTTGAGGGTGGGGACAAAATACTAAAATGAAGAAAATAAGTAAAAGTCTACAGATTGAATATAGAGACTTCTTCCTCAGTTCAGCTCCCAGAATGCTTATAGAGAGGCTAAAAGATTAGAAGAATCTGGATGTCCAACAAGAAAGACTAAAAGATGCTGACATTAGAGGACCCCCCACCATGTCTGCTCACTCCACAGTAATAAGCTTCACCCACGCACACAGAGTTCGCACTAGCTTTACAGAGCCCAACCTTTTCTTCTGAGTCATTAATTGGTAGAGATAACTTATTGGGGTTCAGGGGGTTGATTTAAAAATTGAGAACTATAGGCCGGGTGCAGTGGCTCACAACTGTAATCCTAGCACTTTGGGAGGCCGAGGCGGGCAGATCACAAGGTCAGGAGATCGAGACCATCCTGGATAACACAGTGAAACCCCGTCTCTACTAAAAATACAAAAAAATTAGCCGGGTGTGGTGGCGGGAGCCTGTAGTCCCAGCCACTCAGGAGGCTGAGGCAGGAGAATGGCATGAACCCAGGAGGCAGAGCTTGCAGTGAGCCGAGATCGCGCCACTGCACTCCAGCCTGGGAGACAGAGCGAGACTCCATCTCAAAAAAAAAAAAAAAAAAATTGAGAACTACAGAAAAAGTTACAGATTTATGACTATATGAGGAAGTAATGAAAAGCCATTTCATGAAGCAGTGGTGAATCAAGTTTTTACTATATGTTACCTCTTGGGAGAATAGTTTATACTAAATTACTTGTTTTATTAAAAAAAGAAACTATGCCAAAAAAGAAAAACAATATAAATGGTCAAATCTAATATATTTTTGGCTTTCTTTTTGACAAACTGTCTGTAAAAATGGTGTCTATTGTTCCCATATTTATGACCATGTGTATCCAATGTTTAGCACCTATTTATAAGCGAGAACATGTGTTATTTGGTTTTCTGTTTCTGCGTTAATTCACTTAGAATAATCGTTTCCAGCTGCAACCATGTTGCCTCAAAGGATATTATTTTGTCCTTTTTTATGGCTGTGTAGTATTCCATGGTGAATATATACCACATTTTCCTTATCCAATCCACCACTGACGGGCACCTGGGTTGATCTCATGTCTTCGCTCCTGTGAATAGCACTATGATGGACATACGGAGCCCAACTTTTAAATACAAATGGACAACCAAGGATCACAGGACATTTTAGAAAAGCCCCAAACATGAAAAATGAAGGCTGAAAAGTGAAAACCTGAAGAGATTTGTAAAATAAACCTAAGTGTTAGATAAACTGACAAAATTTCCCAGAAAGTAAAGTAAAAAGATTTTTAAAGGTACAAATGGACGAGCGCAGTGACTCACACCTATAATCTCACCAATTTGGGAGGTCAAGGTGGGAGGATTACTTGAGCCCTGGAGTTTGAGACCAGCTTGGGCAACATAGGGAGACCCCCATCTCGAAAGAAAGAAAGGAAAGAAAGGAAGGAAGGAAGGAAGGGAGGGAGGGAGGGAGGGAGGGAGGGAGGGAGGGAGGGAAAGAAAAGAAAAGAAAAGAAAAAAGAAAATTAGCCAGGTGTGGTAGTGCACGCCTGTAGTCCCAGCTACTCAGGAGGCTGAGACAGGAGGACTGATTGAGTCTGGGAGGTCAAGGCTGCAGTGAGCCATGGCCATGCCACCGCACTCCAGCCTGAGCAACAGAGCGGGACCCTGTCTCAAAAAAAAAAAAAAAAAAAAAACAAGGTACAAATCGTGCTTGATTTACCATGGTTCAACTTACAATTTTTCAACTTTAACTTGGTGCAAAAGTGAGAGGCCTTCAACAGAAACTATACCTATACAACCATTTTGTTTCAGTACACTATTCAATAAATTACATAAGATATTCCATACTTTATTATAAAATAGTCTTTGTGTTAGATTATTTCACCCCACTCTGTGATCCAACAATTCATTATATCCAACAATTTATTATAAATATATAATAATAATAATATATCCAACAATATATTGTTGGATATAATAAATATCCAACAATTTATTATAAAATAGGCTTTGTGTTAGATGATTTTGGCTAATGTAAGAGTTCTGAACATGTTTAAGGTAGGCTAGACTGAGCTACAATAGTCAGTAGGTTAGGTGTACTGAATGCATTTTTGAATTATGATGTTTTCAGTTTACAATGGGTTTATCAGGACATAATCCCATCACAAATCAAGGACCATTTGTATAATAGTTAATTTTATATGTCAATTTGGCTGATCCACAGTGCCCAGATATTTGGTCAAACATGATTCTGCATGTTTCTTGGCAAACATGTTTTTCGATGAGATTAACATTTAAATCTGTGGATTTTGAGTAAAGCTGATTATTCTCCATAATGTGGGCAGGTCTCATCCAATCAGTCAAAGACCTTAGTAGAACAAAAAATGACCACCCAGAAGCAAGAAGGAATTTTGTCATCAGACTGAAATATGTATTAGTCAGGGTTCTCCAGAGAAACAGAACCAACGGGATAGAGAAATCTAGAAAAATAATTACTATAAGTTACCTAGAGGCTGAGAAGTCCCATGTGGCGAAATCTCCACAAACACATGAACCAATTCCTTAAAATCAATCCATCAACCCCCAACCCGTGTGTGTGTGTGTGTCCTTTCGATTCTATTTCTCTGGAGAACCTTAGTAATATAGGATAGTAAGAAATAAAGCATTTAAAAAAGGAAAGTCAAAGCCAGGAGGTCAACATCTTAACAGGATATCCAGAAAGACAGAACAGAAAAAACAAACTTGACTAAATCAAATAAATAATTCAAAAAACTACCCCAGAACTGAAGAACATGACTTTCTGGATTGAAAGGGCCCACAGAGTACCAACCACAAAAAAAACAGAAATAGATCCACATGAACTACCTGCTTAACACACCAGCACACCTCCCTCTAAGAAGGCCAAAACCCTTACTCAGAGTAATTGGCCTACAATTTCAGCCTCTTTTCTATGGAGTCCTTCGGTTCTGGAAAATACTCCTGAGATTGATGAATAGAAAAGAAACAAGAGCAGGCAGGACTCTGGGCCATCTGCCCCTGCTTCATTTATAGAAGCCCTGCTTTTACGTTTCATATTCTAGATTTTTGGATAAGTTTTTTTTTACTTTGCATTTTTGCATTGGCTATTTTTTAATTGTATCTCTTTAAGGTATATAACATGATGTTTTGATATATATACACATAGTGAAATGATTACTGTAATCAAGCCAATTAACATATCCATCATCTCACACTGTTACTCTTTGTATGTGTGTGGTACAAGTACCTAAAATCTACTCTCTTAGCACATTTCCAGTATACAATATTATTAACTACAGTCCTCATGCTATACAGTAAATCTCTGTGCTTACGTGTCCTACATAACTGAAATTTTATACTCTCGTTGACCTCCATCTGCCCATTTCTCCCACACCCTTCATTCCTGGTAACCACTCTTCTATTCTCTGTTTCCATGTACTTGAAGTTTCATTTCGTTTTGTTTTGTTTAGATCCTACAAATAAGTGAGATCATATAGTATTTTTCTATGTTTGGCTTATTTCACTTAGTATCATGTCCTCTACTTCCATTCATGTTGTTACAAATGGCAGTAACTCCTTCTTTAAGGCTGAATAATACTCCATTGTGAATAGAGACACCACAATTTCTTTATCCATTCATCTATCAATGGACACTTGGGTTGTTTCATTATCTTGGATATTGTGAAGAAAACCTCTTTCTTTTTGCTCTTTAAATATATAAAGAGCCATCTCTGGTGCAAATTCCAAAAGAACCGCCCATGACCAAGACTATTCCTGCTGGATCACACCTCATCCTTTCCCTAGCTCCCAACAATGACATCTAGAATATTATACTGAATTACATTTCAGGCCTTTGTGGTCTAGCCTAGAACTTAAATGTGCCTTAAGATCCAAACAAGCAGCTTTTAAACAAACTTTTGGAAAATGCTCTCTATTCATAAATGGAAGCTCTCTGTGCCTACGGAATAGAAGCAAATTCATTTATTAATAGTCCCTAGGTCACTCATAATTAGTGCAAAACTAGTCTGTTAACTAGGCAACCCCTGAGGCTTCAGGAAGTAATTCATTTATGTGTTTGTTTTTCTTCAATATTTATAGTTGTTGTCTTGCACAAAAATCTATCTCACAGAGATGTCTGAAATCTCTTCACTGGTCATTAACTACTCTGATAAACATTATTTACTTTTCTCTTAAAACATATAAGAGAACTAGAGAAATTCTGAAAGTAAATGAGATAGCACAAAAAAAAGATGAAAGAACACTGAAGATAACTTTGGTATATTTTATAAATCTTCCCAGAGTCTCGGCTTATAGCTGGGTTTAATGCCTTGACACATACATATTTATCAAAATTGGCAGAGTAATAAAATCAGGTGAGATAAAAACTGACATGAACACTACAAATACAAACTTACTATAGCTTTTTTCAAAATTATATTCAAAATGGAAGCATCTAACTGAAAATTGTTACTTTCATTGTACACAAAATGAGTATATGTGTATATGGGTATATGTGTGTATCTCTCAAATGCATCATACTAGCAAATTTGAGCAATGTTTTTCACATTCTCATTTAAACATAACTAAAGTCATCCTCAGTGGCTACCTAATCAGCCTAATTACTCTGGGAATTACTATTAAACTAGTGAAAGCCACACAAAAGATTGGTGTAAACTATTCCAGATTCAAATAAAACATATCATTTCTATTTTTCCATTCACAGCTGCCGAGGAACAACTACACAGTCAGCAGCTACTAGAATAAAATCTTACAGTCCATTCAAATCTAAAAAGCAACACTGTGCTTATTTAACAAACAAGTATGCTATTTATCTACCATACTAGTGCTTAGAACAAGGACGGGGAGCCATTTTGGCTATAAAGTTTAGACAGCTTCAAGATGAAGGTCTGAGCTAAGCCTTAAAAGATAGGTAGGGATATAGAAAGGAGAGGGAAGAGGAGTTCTAAACGAGGACATAAAGTTTGAAAATTAAAAGTTAAAAAAAAAAAAAAAAACCCTGAAAACTACCATCCAGCAAACAGTTTTCCCAAATGCAGAGTTCTTAGAAGAGAATGATGGGAAATAAGATTAAGTAGGTGAAACTTACACTGAGAAATAACAGAAATATTTAGATAGAAGTACAATGATGGAAGGCATAATTTTTTCAGTGTACATGTGCATATTAAATAGCAACACATATAAAGCTCTTAGCACAGTATCTGGCCCATAAGGCTAAACAAATATTTGCTATTATTGTTGTTATTATTATTAACTGAAAATTTCAAATAGTATTTTCTGTAGTTTGGACAACTAGTAAATATGACTACCCCGATTTTTAAAATCTAGAATTAAACATTTCTATGTACTTCTTAATTTTATATACATGATCTCACCACAAAGCCCTCAATATTACTCAAAAGGCACATCTTTATTTCCCTGTACTTCAAATCAATTTCTATCTAAACAGAAATTCAGCTTGGTCTTTCCCCAGGCAATGATAACCTTCTCTGACACTCTCTAATGCTGATGTCCTCCAAACAGGACTTTCTGTCCTCCAAAAAGAAAAAACCTTCCCCAAGGAACAGCAAGAAAGAAGGAAGCTTTATAATAGATGAATTTATAGGCAAGTCTGTCTCTTATCTAACTTCTGTGAGTGTCCAGCCCTGATCCTGTGTCTTTGGTTTAAAAGAAAAAAAGCCCTGGGTAAGCCAAGCTCAGCCCTAGGCATCCTCCTCTTCTTCCTATTTTGGCCCTGGCTTCCATGACCCTATCTGTTTTCTGTAATTTGCTACATATAATGGGTAAATATGGAACAACGATGAAGAAAGCAAAGATTGGAGGGGGGAGGTTGCCAAACTGCTCTCCGCTTTAGCCCCGACTTTGATATAAGAAGGCAGGAGAGCCAAGGATTAATATCAGAGGTGGTTTTTCATTTTTCATAACATTTCAGAGCCTGAAAGACTGTAACAAGATGGTGATGATGATGATGATGATGATGACGACAACAACAACAACATTTCACATTTATTTAGGCTTTCACTACATAATCGCAAAAACACTATCTCATATTAACAAGAATAACAGCTACCTGGAGATCAATGAGTCTAGTCCTCTCATTTTATAGGTTAGACAACTTAATGAAGTCAGAGAGATTAATAACTTTGCCAAGACTACAAATTAGTGGCATTGGTGATAATAACAGTGATGATAATAATGATGGTGATGGTGGCAGTGATTACGTTAATAACCCACTAAATTCTTTGTGTGCCTTGTCTCATTTAATCCTTACAGCAGCCCTAGGAGGGAAGTACTATATTTATCTTAATTTTAAGCTGAAGCAACTAAGAATTTAAAAGATCAAAAAACTTGCCCAAAGTCACACAGCAAATAAGTGGCAGAACTGAGATTCAAAAAGCAGATGGACTCAAAAATCTGTCAAGTTAAAACACTAAACTACACTTCCTGTAGTTAAAATTACAACTCGATTCTTCTGACTCTGATCCTAGTTTAATATTGTTTCCCTCATAGCCTGTCTCCTAAATTTAGTGAGGTATGTGTTGAAATAGAAATCTAATACGTATTGCATTTATTTTCTAATATATTATCTGTTACCCCTACAAGTTTAATGTTACAGAATATAGATCCATCTCTAGCTGTAAAAATATACTAATATATATTATTAAGTAATTAGCAATAGTATTCATTTTATCAATATGACATTTAATCAATTTTAGTTTTTATAAGTCAGATGCACATAGTTTATTTCAAGAGGAAAAAAAGTCATCTCACTGTTATATTCTTGCAGAAGATTGCCCTGTCCTAAAATCAGGATTATTTGTAGACAATACAAAGCAGCTAAACTAGCTTCTCTTAGAATTTCCACTGTAGGAAATAAATAACAATATACACTAAGTTAAAAATAATAATGCCCTTGTTATTTATAATCTACCCTCAGGGAATTTTAAAGCACTTTTCATGTCGTAACAGTCTTAAAATGTTTCCAGGATATGGATTGGCAAACCAAAGTACTGTAAAAAGAATTGTGATTTTTTTTTTTTCTTTTAGATGGAATCTCGCTTTGTCGCCCAGGCTGGAGTGCAGTGGCACGATCTCGGCTCACTGCAACCTCCGCTTCCCGGGTTCAAGCGATTCTCCTGCCTCAGCCTCCCAAGTAGCTGGGACTACAGGCACCTGCCATCATGCCCGGCTAATTTTTGTACTTTTAGTAGAGATGGGGTTGCACCATGTTGACCAGGCTGGTCTCAAACTCCTGACCTCAGGTGATCCACCTGCCTTGGCCTCCCAAAGTGCTGGGATAATAGGCATGAGCCACCACTCCTGGCATAACAGTGATCTAAAAATCTTCTATATGGCCATGTGCTGTGGCTCACGCCTGTAATCCCAGCACTTTGGGAGGCCGAGGCAGGTGGATCACAAGGTCAGGTGTTCGAGAACAGCCTGGCTACCATGGCAAAACCCTGTCTCTACTAAAAATACAAAAATTAGCCAGGTATGGTTGCAGGTGCCTGTAGTCCCAGCTACTCAGGAGGCTGAGGCAGGAGAATCACTTGAACCCGGGAGGCGGAGGTTGCAGTGAGCCAAGATAGTGCCACTGCACTCCAGCCTGGGCGACAGAGTGAGACTCCATCTCAAAAAAAAAAAAAAAAAAAAAAACTATGTGAAGTAGCTCCTTGCACACAATAGTGACAAAAATATTTAGCATTTATTCAAAGAGCTATAATTTCCAGAACTCTTTCAATTCTTACCCTAATCCTGAGAAGCAAGCAGGGAAGATTACATTATCCCCACATTAAAGTTAAGGAAGAACTATGATTCATAATGGATACTTGTCTCAGCCAAAATCACAGTCACCAAGAGGCAGAGCCAGGATTAGAACCTTGGTCTTCTGACTCGTGAGTCCTATATACTTGCTACTCTACTTGATCTTTATTTCTTATATAAAAGAATGTTCAGTTAATGTTTGACAAATGAACGTATGCAATGCATGAGCAAATCACATTTCATCAGAAAGAAATGCTGAATTTCTAAATTTCAGACCAGCATTTTGCCATTATATAATTTTTTCTCTGTAACTATACTTTTTGTTTCTGAAGAATGAGGCTGTCCCCTCAACAAGTATAATTATCCTCTAGAAAAGCAAATTGTCTTTGAGCTGATAAGCTGATAAACAGCTAACACACAAAATCACTAAATTTTTCTAGATAAAAATCACGAGTTAAAAAAATAGATATATCTTCTTAGAAATATACCAAGAAAACCAAATGCTATAACTTTTAACCCTAGTTTATAGCATAGCTAAAGAACAATTACTATATAAACTAGACACAGTTTTGGAATGAATGAATGAAGACTCATTTATACCAAGAAGGAAGAAAAGAATCACAACACAGTTCACCCATGATTTCACATCTATTAAGTAGAAAATATTATCATATTCTCACAACTGTCAGCCTGTGCTGCCAGACTTCACATTTAGCAATTATCTCAACGCCAGCTGTCCCCACAATTTCGTTTCAAATTTAATATGCCCTAGAAAATATTACATTTCAAAATTTCTAGCAATTTGCAAAAGATAGAGACAGAAGAGGCAGCCTCTGTAGCAAAGGCATGTGTAGGCTCTCTGCACACTGTGGGAACACACTGGAATCCTATAGTGGACATTTGTTATGTGCCCCCCAACCCTCTCCAGGATTATTCTGGGTCTTCTGGTACAACTCCAAAACCTCATTTAGATAACACCCCTCCCCCATTCTCAGTCCATGTAGACTGGATGAGGTCTCCTTACTCCACTCAACAAAGCCAAAAATGAACATAAGACTGCTGATGCCAACATCAGTGCTTTCTACTACATTATGCTTCATATTACAGTGACATTTATTGTTTTGTCTGCCTAACACAACATTCCCTTCTTATGGAATGGCAACTAATGGCTATGTGATCAAGCTGCCTGGGTTTGAAACCTGTTCCCACCACTTCCTACCCATGTGACTTGATCCATTTATTTAACTGCTCTAAGCCTCCATTTCCTCATCTGTAAAACAAAGATTCATTCACATATTCAACAAATATTTATTGAACACTTATTATGATCCATGCTTGTGCAAGTGCTGAGATAAGAATAGTGAATAAGATAGAAAAGGTCAATATCCTCATGGAGCTCAGATATGGCAGTAAACAACAATAAACCAACAAGAGAGGTGCAGATTATAAGCGCCATAAAAGAAATAAATAATGGGAGAAGATAGTAAAAGAGTGATTCTAGATCCACTTACATAGAATGTGCAGAATTTCAGGATAAAGAGGCTTTCAGTATAAAGCCTCTCTGAGGAGGTGACATTTTAGCTGAAATATAAAAAGAAAGAATAAGCCAACCACTCAAAGAGAACTGGAAGATCATTCCAGGAAGAGGGAAAGCCAGAGGAAGAAAAGAGCTTGGCACAAAAGGACATCTAGATAACTGAAGCATGGCAAGTGAGAAGGGGGTAAAATAACACAAGACGACATCAGAAAGCTAAACAGAAGCCAGACTGTGCTGAGCCTTGCAGGTATGGGAAGAAATTGAGATTTCATTCTAGGAGCGAGCAACGGAAATCCATTGAAGTGCTTTATTTAAAGCTTTGTGTTTTTAAAATGTTATTCCAGCTACTATGGAAAGGATGGATATGGAAAAGAAGAGTCATCTATTCAATATAGTTAAGAGGATGGATGGAAGAGGGAAAGAAGGAAGGAATCAGGGATGATTTCTAGGTTACTTGGGTTGAGCAGCTGTGTATATGGTGATCTATTGATTGAGACTACAAAGATTAGGCAAAAGTCAGGGTTCAAGAATTATTACATTTGAGATGCCTATCAGATCCTCAAAATAGCTGTTATACACTTTTTTTTTTTTTTTTGAGACAGAGTCTCACTCTGTCATCCAGGCTGGAATGCAGCGGCACCATCTCGGCTCATTGCAACCTCCACCTCCTGGGTTAAAGCAATTCTCCTGTCTCAGCCTCCCAAGCAGCTGGGACTACAGGCATGCACCACCACGCCCGGCTAATTGTTGTTGTTGTTGTTGCTGTTGTTGTTTTTAGAGACAGGGTTCGCCATGTTAGCCAGGCTGGTCTCAAACTCTTGACCTCAAGTGATCCACCCTCCTCGGCCTCCCAAAATGCTGGGACATGAGCCACCATGCCCAGCCCTGTGATACATATTAAATGAAATAATCTATGTAAAAAGCACAATGCCTAATGCAGAGTAAACATTCAATAAATGTTAGCTATTATTCATGTTTTGAGAAAAAGAGGAAAGTTCCTTCCTTGGTCTACCCATGTGGTTTTGGTAATGACTGATGACTTTATCTTATCCCATGACCCAGCTAGGGCATTGGACAACTAACTGGTCTAGATGAAACCAACAAGAATCACACTCTCTTAGCTGTGGTGATTGGTCCATCACTCAAGCCACACCAACTTAAGTTCTTCCCTATGATTTTCAAACTAGAAGCTGAAAGGGAAGTTCCCCTTCCTCTTCAGTAGGGACCCTGTAAGAGTCCAGGGATGCTGATGGTAAAGTTCCTACTTCTAGGAGAAATGCCCTCTGTAATTGGAGGGAATAAGGCTGATACCCAGAGAGAAGCACAGATGAGAGACAGAGTACTAGAGGCAGAGAGTGCTTATTTCTAGTAATTCTAGGGTAGTGCTGTCCAATAGAAGCATAATACAAGCCACATATGAAACACTAAAAATAGACAGGTAAAGTTAATTTTAATAATACATTGTATTTAAACCAATGTATCCAAAATAGTATCATGGTAATATGCACTCAATATACAAAGTTGCCAAATAAGAATGATACAATGGACTTTGGGGACTCCGGAGGAAAAATGGGAGGGGGGGAGAGGGATAAAAGACTATGAATGTGGTGCAGTGTATACTGCTCGGGCGATGGGTGCACCAAAACCTCACAGATCACACTAAAGAGCTTACTCATATAACCTAATACCACCTGTACCACAATAACTTATAGAAAAATTAAAAATAAAAAAAAATAAAAAGTTGCCAAGTGTTCAAAACCCAGTGTGTATGGTAAATTTGAACTCAGACTAGCCATATTTCAAGTGATCAAGAGCGATATATGACTAGTGGCTACTGTGTTGGATAGCACTACCAACACTACCTGGGCTCTACCCAGGCCCTTTGCAGGCCATAAGCCAATGCATGCCCTTGTAGGATTTCATTAATTTAAGTTGGATTTGTGTCTCTTATCCCGAGAGTCCTTAATTTACCTAAAAACATTATTTCACTTATTCCATTTACATCTGAAACCCTAATAATTCTTTTTTTTTTTTTTTAGATGGATTCTTGCTCTGTCACCCAGGCTGGAGTGCAATGGCATGATCTCAGCTCACTGCAACCTCCACCTCCTGGATTCAAGATAATCTCCTGCCTCAGCCTCCCAAGTAGCTGGGATTACAGGCATGTGCCACCATGCCTCAGTAATTTTTGTATTTTTAGTAGAAGAGGGGTTTCACCATGTTGGCCATGCTGGTCTCAAATGCCTGACCTCAGGTGATCCGCCTGCCTCAGCCTCCCACACTGCTGGGATTACAGACATGAGCCACTGTGCCCAGCCTAATCATTTTTTTAGAAATCACACACAGTACATTATATTCTGAAAATTGATTCACCAATTCTTATTAGCATAAGGACTATCACCTATTTCCCTACTTGAGTGCCAACTCCCACTTCACATATGCACTACAGTTAAGACTCATTAGACCTCTGTATTCCAGCCTTGATTAGCACAAGAAACCATAATGGAGCATCTGCAAACAAGAATCAAAGGTACTACAAGTGATAACTCTGATTGAGTTGATCTGAGGTGGAATCTGGGACTCCATTTTTTTAAATGTTGTCCTAGTAATTTTGATAATCACCCAGATTCAAAACTACCGAGTTGGATCACTTACTAAATCTAAATAGCAACTTCTGCCCCTTATTTACCTTTTCTATTGTTACAAGTATTTCCTCTGTTGTATTTACTGAAGCGCATACTATATTCACCTTTGTATACTTAATTCCTAACCCCTTAATGGATATACTTCAAATATTCAATAAATATTTGTTGAACTAAAAGAAAAACTTAAAGTGGACTTTTAATATGATGCTATTTCCAATATGATATCTAAAATAGTCCAGAGAAGTAGTGGGAGATAATAAGAGTACTAAGTTTAGGTAATGGCCTATCTCTCCTTCTTTCTGTTCTAATTTTAATTAGCTCTCTGCTAGTCTGAATTGAGGGTAAAGGGAGTTAATTGTTGGATTACTCTGACTACAGTTACATTAAAAAGAAAGTGCCCTGTGGCCATATTAAGTGCCATGTTGTACCCAAATGTCCACCTGTAGTTAGATAATTTTGATTTAATTGACTTCACTCACATCCAGAGACCATGGAAGGGAGTGGAAGTTTGGTCAATTAAAAATCAAGCATTAAGAATGCCAACTGATTCCTCCTGAGTGAGAATTAGAGAAAAGGAATTCTAGGTCTGTGGGCACAGGGAAAGACATACCAAAGCATTCATAAATGGCTCTTGGTTCCTCACCTCCTTCTTCTCTTCCACACACACATTCTAGGAGGTTCAATAAAGTGCTGTAATGTGTTTTGCACACAGAAGGTACTCAACAAAGTTGTATCAGTTGCTGGGGCCATAACCAAGTATTACAGGCTGGGAGGCTTAAACAACAGAAATTTGTTTTCTCACAATTCTAAAGGCCAGAAGTCTGAGATCAAAGCATTCGAGTGGTTAGTTCTTGCTGAGGCCTCTCAATCTGGCATGCAGATAGCTGCTTTCTTCCTGAGTCTTCACAGGGTTTTCCCTCTGTGTTTGTCAATGTCCTAATCTCCTCTTCTTATAGAGATACCAGTCATATTGGATTAGAGCCCACCCTAATAACCCCATTTTAACTTAATTACCTCTTTAAAGACCCTGTCTCCAAATACAGTCACATTATAAGGTAGATGGGGTTAGGAGAGCAACATATGAATTTAAGAAGACATAATTCAGCCCATAACAAGTACCGTCTAGGTAACCACTCTAACAGAGGTTAGATGAATCCAAGAATAGCTGAATCTTGAAGAGGTCATATAGAGTTATTTGGTTTCAGGGATATGTTAAACATGAAAGATCTAAACCAGCGGTTTCAAACACTACTGTTCAACAGAATCGATTATGGGGTATGTTACAAATTATGGGTGTTCTGGCCACACTCAGAAATTCTTAGGAGTAGACCAGGCATCTGTATGTTTGCAGCCTGGAACAAAGTCTGGTATTGACCCTAAAAGACATGTCAACCTAGACAGCCAGCAATGAGGCAAGAAGCAGGACTGGCAATGAAGAGGAAAAGACCTCACGTGAATAATGTAGTGATCTGTATCGCTACATTCTCTTCATCATTAAGTCTCTGTTACCCAAAATTCACTCTAATACCATATTACTCTCTTTGTGACTTTGTCCAAACAAAGTCTTCCCAAAGACGTAATGCACAATGAGAAGTCTATGCTTATGATATTTTTCAGAGGAGGGCTGGTTAGAATCACAAATGATGATCATTTACTTCACACCTAATATAACTCATTCTCCGCTGAACGGAATTTGGTTGATTGACTGATTTGTTTAGGCCAATGGATTCAAGGAAGTGGGCCATATTCATCTCATCTTCTTCTCCTTTAAGCTGCCTCTGGGACAAGTTGACACACATTTTCACCACTCTCTAGTCTCATGGTTGATTAATAATATCCGTATAATTATATTTCATCCTATCATTAAACAGTACTGGATTCAAAGTAAAACTCAGTGAAATAATTTGGCACAACTGCTTTTAAAAATTATATTTTTGTATTTTCTCCTTCATATGCTTCTTTATTCTATCTCTGCCTTCCATTCAACAAATATTTATTGTAGTGCCGGGAGTATGGGAATATAACAATAAATAAAACATAGCCTCTGCCCTTCAGAAAAGTAAAGTCTAGAAAAGAAAAAAAGATGTGTAAACAAATAACCACAAGAGAATGTGCCATATTATAACAAAGATACACATAAGGTCCCATGGAGCACAGAGTAGAGAACTAACATTGCCTGAAGGCAGAGCTTACACACAAACTGAAGGATACAGTCAAGTATCCAGGCAAGGACACAGGACAAGAACAGGCATTAAAGCAAGAAAATGCAAGGCAAGTTTAGGGAACAGAAAATACTCATGATGGCTCTAACAAAAGGCTTGTAAGGTTGGGACTCATGGTGGGCCTTCCATGCTACACTAAATAACCAGCACTGTCAGGGGAAGTCACTGATAGTTTTTTAAGCACCATCAGTTCTGTGTTTAATTTCCCCCAGGCATAAAATTTTCCTGAGGCTGTCTGCTGCTCCCCACTCCCCAGCGTGCGCCCCTCTTCCACAGCCCCATGCCGCCTGTGCTGTAGCAATCAGAAGTACTTACTGTTCTCTAAATATGCCAGGCATGTTCTCACTGACTGCTAATGTCAAAAGCATGACTTGAAAAACATCTAAATGCATGATCAGACCAGTGATAGCAACCCTATGGTGGAGTTTTCAACAGTTAATAAGGGGAGCAATATTGAATCATTCCAGTTCTCTATATTTTGTCATTTGCTGTTCCTGCTGCTTCATGGAAAAGGGTTATATTTTCTCTGTAAATAGAACTTGATATATCTTCATAACCGTCAGCAGGGATGGACACTGTGCTACTTCCCAGCAAAAGGTGAATGAAAAGTGATAGCAGTTAAAATGGTGTTCTTTGCTGTTTCTCTGTTTTGTTTTCATACTCTTCTTTTAAAATCAGACTGTAATTTTAACAAGGTGGCAGGTAAAGCATTCCTTTTTGCTTTTAATGCTGCCTGGAAATAATTTGTTTTCTCCTCTCCAGAGAAATTCTTAAAAAAAAAAAAAAAAAAAAAAAAAACTGTAAAAACCTGACTGTTCTGATACAAACCTTGTTAATAGGATGTTCACCTTAAAACTAACCCAAAAGAGGAACAAGTAAAGCAACATGATAACAAATCACAGAATTTTAGAAAGGACTAAGAGCAAATGTAGTGGTGTGGTTAAAAGCTATGGTTCCTTTGAAGCTCAAATTAAGAAGAACCTGCTAGTACTGATCATCTAGCATCCTAAGTGGGAACATAGCAAATAGACATAGAATTATAACCCTAAGAGTTGAAATCAGAATAATAGCACCAATGAACTCCTCAAATCATTTTTTAAAGGAATATATTTGTGAGGCAATGCAAGTGAAAATTACATAATATACAGTTACTAAATTCCTGAGAGTTCTATTTTTGTTTATTCAATATCTACTAATATAAGGACAAAAATCATTGCTAATGATCAAAAGAGCATAGCAATCATTATCAAATTAAGAGGCCAGGCATGGTGGCTCATACCTGTAATCCCAGCAATTTGGGAGGCTGAGGCTGGCAGATCGCTTGAGCTCAAAAGTTGGAGACCAGCCAGGGCAACATAGTAAAACCCATCTCTACAAAAAAATATAAAAATTAGCCAGGCGTGGTGATGTGCACCCATTGTCCCAGCTACTTGAGAGTCTGAGGTGAGAGAATCACCCAAGCCCGGGGAAGTCAAGGCTGAAGTGAACCATGATCACGCCACTGCACTCCAGCCTGAGCGACAGAAAGAAACCCTCTCCAAAAGAAAAGAAAGAAAAATTAATTAAGATGTGATTCAATACATTTTTTCCAATTCTTTAAGTTATTAAGAAGCCAATGTCAATCTCTCATCCACTGCAGGAATCTCCTAGTTTCCCTAATATACAACTTCGGTCTCTGCTGAAATATTACCTTTTTTATCGTAAATACTTAAGGTATACAACATGATGTTTTGTTATACATATACATAGTGAAATCATTATCACAGTCAAACAAATTAACATATCTGTCATCTCAGATACCTTTTTTCCCCCTTTGGTGATAATCTACTCTCTTAGCAAATTTCTAGTATACGATGTGATATCATTCTGTACATTGGATCTCTAGACATGCTGTACATTGGATCTCTAGACATTCATGCTACATAATTACAACTTTGTACCTTTTGACATACATCTCCCCATTCCTGTCCCTCCCTCCCCACCCCAGGCCCTAGTAACCACCATTCTACTCTGTGTCTATATATTCAACTTTTTTTTTAGATTCTGCACATAAGTGAGATCATGCAGTGTTTTTCTTTCTGTGCCTGGCTTTTTCACTCAGGATACTGTCCTCCAGGTTTATCCATGTTCTCTCAAATAGCAAGATCTCCTTTTTTAAGGCTGGACAATATTCCATCGTGTGTGTGTGTGTGTGTGTGTGTGTGTGTGTGTGTGTGTGTGTGTGTGTACCACCATTTCTCTATCCATTCATCCATCAACAAATGCCTAGGTTGTTTCCATTCTGGACCATGGTAGATACTGCTGCAATAAACATGGGAGCTCAGATATCTTGACAAGGTGCTGACTTCATTTCCGTTGGATACATACCCACAAGAGGGACTGATTGCTGAGTTATATTGTAGTCTTATTTTTAATTTTTTGAGGAACCTCCACTCAGTTTTCCATAGTGGCTGCACTAATTTACATACAAAAGTTTCCTTTCCTCCACAGTCTCACCAACACATCTCTTTTTGGTTTATTTCTGAACTCTCTATTTTATTCCATCTGTCTATGTGTCTGTTTTTATGCCAGTACCATACTATTTTTCCATATTATAACTTTGTAATATAGTTTGAAATCAGGAAGTGTGATGCCTCAAACTTTGTTTTTCTTTCTCAAGATTGCTTTGCCTATTTGGGGTCTTTTATGTTTCCATACAAATATTTTCTATTTCTGTAAAATATTACCTTTGCCTCTTCTTTTCCTTTCTTCCCATGTCATAGTTCCCTTTCTTTTTCTTCCCTCTTCTCTCTATGCTTCTCATTCTAGATCACATTTGGGTAATGTTAGGTACATGTATATAGTGACTATTTCTCCTGGAAGATGATTTAGACTACAACTACAACTATAATCACTTAGAAAAGTGTAGAATTCCTCTGTCCACCTAGAATAGAGCTGAATTTGTTCATATTCCATTCCAAACACAGCATTCTAGGAAACTATGAAGTATTCTGCAAGCTGTAAAAAGATCCATATAATAGAATATTATTTGCCATTAAAAAGGAATAAAGGGCCAGACGTGGTGGCTCACGCCTGTAATCCCAGCACTTTGGGAGGCTGAGGTCAGGAGTTCAAGAACAGCCTGGCCAACATGGGGAAACCCCTTCTCTACTAAAAATACAAAAATTAGCTGGGCATGGTGCCCCGTGCCTGTAATCCCAGCTACTTGGGAAGCTGAGGCAGGAGAACTGCTTGAACCAGGGAGGCGGAGGTCGCAGTGAGCCGAGATCGCACCACTGCATTCCAGCCTGGGCTACAGGGCAAGACTCCATCTCAAAAAAAAAAAAAAAAAAAAAAAGAGGAATAAAGTACAGATACATGCAATAACATGGGTGAATTCTGAAAACATGCTAAGTGAAAGAAGACAGTCATATAGGCCACACATTGTATGATTCCACTTATATGAATTGTACAGAATAGGCAAATCTATTGAAACAGAAAGTAGATTAGTAATTGTCTACACTGGGGAGATGGGAGGAATGGGAAGTGACTGCTAATAAGTACAGTGGCTTCTTTTTAGAGCGATGAACATATTCTAAAATTAGACTGTGGTAGTGGTTTCACAACTCTGTTAATATATTAAAAACCATCCAATTAAAAACTTTAAATAGGTGAACATTATGAGAATTATATCTCAATAAAGCTGTTTAAAAACATGTATCTAACGCAACAGTCTATGTGTACACACCCATAATATATGCATATATATACATACTCATTTACAGAGAGTTCTGAATTATCAGCCTGCAGTTTATCCACTGAAATTTTAAAATTCAAAATTTCTTACTTCCTTGATTGTATGAGAATGGTAATAATAACAATAATGACAGCAATAATAATATCAAGTACTCATTTAGTTCATACTATGTGCCAGCTATTGTGCTAAAAATACGTAATCTTATTAAAACCTTACAAAGTCACCAAATAATAGAGTCTGTTACTAACCATTTTAACATATTATTTTTTATAATCCTCACAACAAGAACTACAGTTTTTCTCAATTTATGAGAAAACTGAGATTTAGGGTGGTGAAATAAATCATTCTCGGTTTTACAGCTAGTAGTTGGCAGAGCAATGATTTAAACTCCGGTCACTGCACTCTGCTGCCACTTGAGCTATCCCTCTGTAAGGGCAATTGAGTCTCAGTGAGCTAAAAGAATCTTACATTACTTTTGCAGACAGGCATCTAACAGAGTAGGAAAAATCCCAGAACCAAAAGCTGAAACCCAGACCGCAGTCTGAGTCATGATACAAACTAACCAGGCCAGCCAAATTCCAATCCTCTCATCTACAAACATGGAAATTGGAATAGAAATTTTTCAAGGTCCTATCAGCTTAAAAGTCCATTTGTCCAAGAAAAACTTACTTAAAAATCTGAGTCTTCAGTCCAAAATAAACTTGCCAGAAGAAATGCTTTCTTTATTTTCTGCCCTATGAGTTTACGACTATTATTAGGTTGTAAAAATATTAAGTATAACTGGAAACTGAAAGCATAATTAACATTTACTTATAAAGTTCGATATCACCCATTAGCAATATAACACATAATGATTTATTAACTTTTTACTATAAAAACTTTTAAACATATTCAAAAGTAGACAGAATAGTATTAAAAAACCCAACGTACTCATCATACACCTTTAAAAATCGTCAACTCATGGTCAAATTTGTTCCATCTATATACCCTCCCACTTTGAAGAAAATCCATGGCATCATAACATTTCTGTAAATATTTCAGTATCCATGTGTAAAAGATAAGGGTTCCCTTCTTAAAAGTATAATCATGATACCATCATGACACCTAAAAATATTAACAATAATATCTTAATATGACAAACTTGGAAAATACATTTAGATATATAAATGGCAATAAATAATACAGATTTAAGTACCACTTTCACTGATATTAAAAGATAAACCTAGGCACATTAAAATTTTAAAGAGTTTATTTGAGCATTCAGTGATTCATGAATTAGGCAGCACCAGACTGCAAGTGATTTGGGCTCCACCAAAGGCGTGCAAGGGAAAACTTTTATAAGGTGTCTGTGGAAGCAGGACAGAGAAAATGTTTGATTTATTAAAGTGGAGAGTCCCTACTTAGAGGTAATTGGCAGTGTCTGGTAAAGACTCTAGATAGAGATTCACTGGTGCTTTCTGATTTGTTAAACTTAAGTTTCATTTCACTGTTTTACAGTGTGTTTACTGTTTACAGTGAGTTTGGTTTCAGTTTGCTTACATAGGAACCCAAAGCACTACCTAATGGTTTCCCAATCAATTTTTTTTTTTTTTTGAGACAGAGTCTCACTCTGTTGCCCAGGCTGGAGTGCAGTGGCATAATCTCCACTCACTGCAACCTCTGCCTCCCGGGTTCAAGTGATTCTCATGCCTCAGCCTCCCAAGTAGCTGGGATTACAGGCACACACCACCACGCCTGGCTAATTTTTATATTTTTAGTAGAGACAGGGTTTCACCGTGTTGGCCAGGCTGGTCTGGAACTCCCGGCCTTAAGCAATCTGCCCGTTTCAGCCTCCCAAAGTACTGGGATTACAGGCGTGAGCCACTGCACCTGGCCCCAGTTAATTTTTTTAACACTGACAAATTTTACTTTGAGTGTTAAGGCTATCTGTATATTCAAATTTTCCAGACTATTATTTCTATTTGAATACATTATTTATATATATAATCTATTATATCTATACCTAATGTCTCTGTACTCTATTCATGAAATGTCATATGGCACTATACTGAATGTGTCCATAGAAGTAGAGTACTAAACATTCTATATATACTGAGCTTATTAGTTTTGTTTACTCATTGAGCTTGCCTGGTATTGAAAAGAAATTAAATTAGTTAGGCATGGTTTGTTTGTGATTAACCTTTCCTGTCTTCCACAGTTCAATTTATCATCCTCTTCGTGATACCAAATGACTACTTTATGAATTGTTCCACAAATTTGCCAGCTATTATTCACGAGCTACATATTTTATCCAACTGAAGTGTTTATTCTGTGACCCTTATTTTCATATAACTCTCTATAACCATTTTGCTTCTACCATACTTACTCTCACATTCCTTCCCTAGCTTGCCTTGCCCTCCAAAACAAAAAAGCTTCCACCATGAAATTACTAATTGATATTCTGCCTTATAAACTTTGCCTTGAAAGATTCCTTTGAAAAATTAATTTCATTTCCTCGATCTAGCCAATGATAAAATAATGATGACAGCAAACAGAAGTAGAAACAGCATAATTTTTTAAAAAAGGAAACATCAAATTTTGTATTGAAAATTTACATCAGCATTTCACTAGTGAACAGACATTTCCTCTGAGAAAGAGTGATAATTACCATTTGCACCTCATGTAAGGATTTTCCTGAGGCCTAAGAAAGCTATAAATAATATAGTTTCTTTTGAAATAAAGAAAAAAAATTTAATTTTCTTTCATCACGCTAACAAGAAGTAAAATAGGTTGCAAATAATGGTGTAGTAAATGGATTAAAGAGATTAGCTTCAAAATAACTGCACTGCAGGACCTAAATGCTGAACTTGGGTTATCCAGGCTAAATAAAGGCCAGTCATCATCTTATTTTTATAGTTCAATCATAAGTTAGGGCTTATGGGAGTAACGCAATTAAGAAAATATATATATTTGGGGGAGTTGGAAAAGTTTGGAAAATTTCAAAAATCAAATCACATTTCAAATGGATTAGGAGAACTCACTAATTAAAGGTGGATAGATTTCATACTGTTAAAAAAAAAACTCAAACAAGTAAAAAAAAATTTATGATTAACCACCAATACAAACAATAGGCAAATTTATTAGTTTCTCTGCTCTTGCTTTACAACTGTAACCTTTATAACAAACCCTGTTAGACCTTGTAGGAGACCCTGTTAATGCCCACACCATATCCCCCTGACTTGTCTGTGAGTTCTCTTCCACTGCTGTGGATAGTCATGCTGATGCTGACAGCTTCCCACCTAAAGGACCCACAGTTCTTTCTCCATTTTCTCTTTATTCTTCCTGGAACCACCTTGCACATACACTACCCATGCCTAAGTCCTTACACCAGGGTCTGCTTTTGGGGAAAACCCTAATAAGACTGTTGGTAATAGAAATAGCACTAGAAAGCAGACCTTCAGAATGAGATTCTGGAATTGCATTACTTGCTGGTCAGAGGGCAGCAAGGATCCAATTTCTAGTGATAAGTGAGTGGTGATAACCCCTAACAGGCTACAGCAGTATAATGCCCAAAATTTTTAACTGAGGTGGACTGTAATGTGTTACAGGAAGGAGGAAGTACAAGCTTATATAATAGCTCTAATACTTGAAAGACATGTGGTAATCAAAACAAAGATTTTGGAGTATGTGTTAACTACTCGAGAAGCTTTGAAGAATGAGAATGGCAGGCTTGGGTAAGCCATCTATCAATTCAGGGCATGCTGTAAAAGTCAGAAAAACTCCATGTCAGTATTTAAAATGAACCTTATCTCTGGCACTCAGCTAACATACTATACTGAAATCAGGCCTAAGATTTGATGAAGGAGCTTAGCTACAAAGACAACTAAATGCACAGCCCCAGCAGGTCTCCCATCAGGGCTCTGATAGGGAAAGGGGGAGGGTGGTGATGCATGGGAGGGTGATATTTAGGGGGGTGTACATGAGACCACTAAACACTCAAATCTGCTGAAACCTCTGGGCCGGCAGAATCCACCCTCATCCCTTTCATAAAGGTAAGCCACCTCTAATTGCATGGAGACCTGGCAAAGGACATACCTGACGGGGGTGCCTTCCTCCAGATCTGCCCTTCATCTTTCATTGCCTCTAGACCAGTAACTAGGGTCAGGTCCTACTGATAAAAGCTCCAACTGTAAGGCGCAGTGGCTCACACCTGTAATCCCAGCACTTTGGTAGGCTGAGGCGGGTGGATCACCTGAGATCAGGAGTTCAAGACCAACTTGACCAACATGGTGAAACCTCATCTCTACTAAAAATACAAAATTATCTGGGCATGGTGATGCATGCCTGTAATCCTAGCTACTTGGGAGGCTGAGGCAAGAGAATCACTTGAACTCGCGAGGCGGAGGTTGCAGTGAGCTGAGGTCGCACCATTGCACTCCAGCATGGGCAACAAGAACAAAAAGCTGTCTCAAAAAAAAAAAAAAAAAAGCTCCAACTGTGAAGGGCACACCTTCACATTGGTGGGAAGAATATGGGAAGAAATCACCTATTCACCGAAAAAGTCAGCTGAGCCTATCTGACATGTGTCATTAGAACTGAGAGCACACATAAGGACGTGGATGTTGAGGGTGCTGAGCTGAGGCATGGGGAAAGAATGCTAGATAGAGGAGAGTGCTTTCATATGGAGGCAATCTCTGGTGATTCATAATTTAATTTGTAGCAAGGAAATCATAAGTAGGTCCTAAAACACTAATGGGATGTCAATGTGACTGACAGGATTCCAAAATAACAGGCATCAGAGGTGGCACTTAGCCATCAGAAGCAAGGTGAATGCACGCCATTAAAGGTAGTAAGGTCAGAGCAGTAACCAGAGAGCTTGACCTGCAGGGGTCTGTGGCAATGGTTGATAAGTCATTAGCCATTTTGTTTATAGAAGCAAAAGAGATGGGTAATGTATTTGTTGCTAGGGCTGCTGTCACGAACTAAGTGACTTAAACAAGAGAAATTTACCGTCTCACAGTTTTGAAGGCCAGAAGTCCAAGATCAAGACATTGTTGGTTCCTTTTAAGGGCTGGGTGAATCTGTTCCATGACTCTCTCCTATCTTCTGGTGGTTTTCTGGCATTCTGTTGCGTTCATTAACTTATAGAAGCATCACCCCAATCTCTGCCTTCATCTTCACATGACATTCTCCTTGTGTACATTTCTGTGTCAATATTTTCTTTTTGATAAGAATACCAGCCACATTGGATTAGGGGCACAACCTACCCCAGTATGATCTCATGGTTACTCATTACACAATTCAACCTATGACAAGTAGTTAATAAGGTTAATTTTTTATTTATATTTGCAAAGAAGACCAAGAACTAAACAGAAGATCGATGTTCCTTTTCTGGATCTAAGGCAGTTCTCAGACCCAGAGCCCATCAAGGGGAGGCTAAGTCCTCTTGAGCGAAAGAGCTAATGTTTCTCCAATAATTCTTTAAGGGGAAGTGCTGCCATATAACAGAGTATATGGCACCATATGCCAGTATATACACTGGTGAAAGTGGAATACCCAAACCTTTCAGGGCTATTGGATATAGGCTCTAAGCTGACACTTATACCAGGGTATCCAAAATAGCTTTGTGGTCTCCCAGTTAGAGTAAGAGCATTTGGAAGCCAGATAATAAATGGAGCCCTGACTCAAGTCCATCTCACCATCAGCCCAATGGGTCTCCAGACCCACCAACTGGTCACGTACCTGGTCCCTGAGTACATAATTGAGATGGATATACTTAGAAGCAGCTAGAATCCAAACACTGGTTCTCTGAACTATGAAACAAGAGCCATTATAATAGAAAGGGACAAAGAAAGCCCCTGGTATCACTTCTGCTCTGTCCCTGGCCCAAATAATAAATCAGAAAGAATATTTTGGCCAGGTGGAATAACAATTTGTGCCACCCTCAGAATGCTTCCTGCAAAAAAACCATACGGCTCATGGATGAGTCAGCTAAATACGTTGGTGCAAGAGGAAAACTACTGTCACACTATAGCCCAAGGCAAGGATGAACTACTGCAATGTTACTCAAAGTGTAATCCATAGACTAGTGCCAATTCATAAATTTATTTTTGTAAGTCGACAAAATAATTATTAAAAGTGAGAGTACATATTTGGAAACATTAGAGCAATTTGACATTGCTGTAATAACTGTAGTTTTATATTTTACAAAAAGATCACTCATGTTGAACTGAAAACAAACCCATATATAGTTCCTTCACATGATCAGTTTGAGTAGCACTGTTCTAAAGGACAGTGGTGAAAGGAAATCCATCAGGCAGAGCTTCATAACTTTACATGAAGAAAGAAGTGGTTTGAGGTGAGAACAATATCAATTGTTGGGCAGGGGCTAGTGGTTCTGCTAATTGATCAGATGCCTGGAAGAAGCAATACTTCATGATCAGATACAAGGAGGTCTGAGAAGGAGGCATGTGGATGACCCTATAGGTGTGAATACCTAACAAAGCATCTATAGTAGAGGCAGCATTGAACAACCAGATGGAAAAGATGACCCATCCAATGAATGTCAGCCAATCTTTGTCCTCAGCCATCACAATGGTTGCACAGTGGACATGGAAACTGACTAGCCATAATGTCAGGGATGGAGGCTATGCATGGGCATAAAAGCATATACTCCCTCTCACCAAGGGTAATCTAGCTATTGACAGTGCTGAATGTCTGACCAATAAGTACTGGCCCAAAGTGGCCCCTCAATACAGAACCATCCCTCAAAAAAGCCAATCAGACATTTGTGGCAGGTTGATTACATCAAATTCCTTTCCACCTTGGAAGGCACAGCAATTCATCCTCAATGGGCCTGATGGTTATTCAAACATGCTTTTGCCTTTTTTGCCTCTGCCAGGTCATATTTACTAGCATAGGATCCACCAGTCTCACCTTTTATGGCCATTCTAGCACTCCATCAAGCTGATGAACCACTAGCATTCCATCAAGCTGATGGCCAAAAGGCTCAGCTTTAGAATAACTGTCTAAAGGATTGGTGCCCCATCCTCTTAAACAGAGGTCCCCAATCTCCAGCCTGCAGAGAGGTAACTCTCCATGGCCTGTGAGGAACCAGGCTGCACAGCAGGAGGTGAGCAGCAAGGAAGCAAGCATTATCGCCTGAGCGCTGTCTCTTGACAGATCAGGAGTGGCATTAGATTCTCATAGGAGGTGAACTCTACTGTGAACTATGCATGCAAGGGCTCTAGGTTGCATGCTCCTTATGAGAATCTAATGCCTAAGGCAGAACAATTTCATCCTGAAACCAACCACTCTCCCCATCCCAGCCTCCCACCTCTGTCCATGGAAAAATTGACTTCCACAAAAGCAGTCTCTGGTGCCAAAAAGGTTGGAACTGCTGCTCTACAGCGCAGTAGATGAGTCAAACCAATGATCATTACACGATGTTCTGTCCCCTTAGCATGGGTGTGGGAACTAAGGGGTAGAAGTAGAATTGGCAGCACTCACCACTTAACCCACTTGGGAAATTTGTCCATCCTCAGTAGCCAAGTTGGGTAATTTGTACTTCCCGTTCTCTCAACTTCAGACTCTGTGGGATGTGATACCTTAACCCCTATGAGTGGAACACTTTCACCAGAGAGTAAATTACTTTCACCCAAACCCTTTATTTTGGTGCCTGATTTAAAAGAGAATCTGAGTTAACTTTAACACAGTTAGATACAATTATTATCACCTTATATTGAGGAATGAGGCACGAGGAAGTTTAAGTGGACCAGGGTCACACAGCTAGTAAGTGATAGAATCAGAACTTGACCCTGGGCAGTCTCATCTAGAGTCCTTGCTTTCAACCTCTACTCTAAATTATCTGTTTTTAAAGTTCATGTTTTTGTATTTAGTTGTCTTGGAGCAAAGCATTCCTATATTATTTTATGTTTCTAAGGCAGGTGTGGCTAGCACCTCTATAATTAAAATAAAGTTCAATTAAATCTGAACAAGTATTATTTAATATAGTTTTTTATTATTTTAATACAGGTTTCAATGTAATCAGACAGTAACAATGTCTAGCTCTGTCTTCATTTAGCATGTATCTATAAACACGCTCCTTAAAAACATACCTAAACACACACACAAAAAAAGATGTCTTTATAACAAATTTTCACAAGTTATGCATTTTTGAACAACAGTTAACAGGATAAGTTCAAGGTAACAGTTGCCAGTGATTTTCATCCCTAGGAAGTAGGTAAATCAACCAGGCTAGGAGTTTTCAAAAATAAACATAAACTCCTTTGTACTAGCTAATCCTTATCATTTAGCATCACCTGTCCTTCAGCTGGCCCTATGCTTGAGGCATCAGAATGAAGCCCTGGGAACTAGTATTCAAATCACAATTATTTTAAAGTTTACAATGGGCAATTTCCTAAAAGTGATATGATAGAAAGAGTATGAATTCTGGAGTCAGACAATCCCAGTTTTGCAACTTACCTGCTATGTGGCCTAGGACAAGTTATTTAACTTTTGGATCTTCAGTTTTCCAATATATAGAATGTGGAAGAAAAAAAGATTGAAGTATGCAAAGTGCCTAGTGTACCATCTAGCATCCAGCAGCTACTTAATAAGTAATAGTTTCCTTCTTCATAGGTATTATTAATTAATTCATGTTTACATAATTACTTGCAACTAAAATAAACAATAAATAATGTAGAAAATCCTAAGGGTCTTATAAGTTTAGATGGAAATAAATTGGAAGCTTGCATAAACAGATTAAAACACAGATTCACAAGAAGAGGAAATAACAATAATAGATTAGAAAGCAGGTAGACCCAGCCATAGGAAAGAAAACTTAAATACTACTCAGCAATATCTCCAGGATACCATCAGAACTGTTTTGGTCACCCCATAGGGGTAGACATGGATATCCACTGCTATAATTTTGCACTGTACTAACATGGTAGCCTCTAGCCACAGGTGGCAAATTGAGCACTTGAAATATAGCTAGCCCAAATTGAAATGTGCTGCAGAGTTAAAAAAAAAAAAAAACCTGGATTTCAAAAACTTGGCATGAAAAAATATATAAAATATCTCATTAAAAATGTTTAGATTGATTACATATTGAAATAATATTTGGATTTATTGTGTTAAAGAAAACATTGTTAGATTTAACTTCATTTCCCTCTTTTTACTTTCTTTATGGTGGCCACTAGAAATTTTAAATTTACATAAGTGGTTTGCATTTTATTTCCACTGGACAGCACTAATGTGAGGTCCTAATTTAACTTGAACAGCACTGATGTAGAGTCCTCATTCTTAGGCTCCCATGTTCTTCCCTCCCAGTCTTCCATTCTTTAGCAAAGACTTAGCACTACAGTAACAACAATTTTCATTCATGTCCCTGTATGAGGGCCCCACTATCCTGGATGCAACACACGGATGATTTGCCACAAATAGTCTTTAAATGATTTATAAAATATATAGGAATGAATAAGCGGATAAATAACTCCCAGCGAAAAATGTCCCTCAAGGACAATATTCACATAGGCAAGACTCTGTGGTACTTTCTAACACACTTTAAAAGGAACATTATTTTAATATGCACTATCCATTCACGACATTCAAGACAAGTGAAGGTTAGCTGTCTACTAGAAAAAATAAAATTTTAAACTTGAGGCATTTATTCATATAATCAAGAGTCTAGGAAAACTGCCTGAATTAGTCAAGGTTCTCCAGAGGACAAAAAAAAAAATGCATATATACATATATGGAGATTTATTGGAGAACTGACTCACAAGATTATGGAGACTGAAAAGTCCACCAATGATTAATTCATTCATTCATACTTTACATAGTTTAAAAGTCCCTGGCATCAAGCAGGGTACCCAGGAAAGCCGGTGGTGCGATTCAGACCAAATCTAAAGGCCTGAGAACTAGGGAGGCTGCTGGTGTAAATCTCAGAGTCCAAAGGAGTTCAAAGGCCTAAAGGAGGCGCTCCATGTCCAAAGGCAGGAGAAGATGTCCCAGCTCAAGAACAGAACAAATTTGCCCTTCCTCCACTTTCTTGTTCTATTCAGGCCCTCGAAGCCAGACTGAATGACACTCACCCACATGGGTGAGGACAATCTTCTTTACTCAGTCAACTAAGTCACATGTTAATCTCTTCCAGAAACACACTCAACAGACAGACCTAGAAATAATGTTTTACCACTTATCTGGTCATTCTTTAGTCCAGTCAAGTTTGACACATAAAATTAGCCATCACACCACCTCAATCCTCTACACAAATTTGGCTGAAACTAGCTTGATAAGTCTTTCTATCAGAGGCTTCAGTGGAAAAACTGACCAGGTGATATGGTTTGGCTCTGCATCCCCACCCAAATCTCATCTCAAATTGTAATCCCCATGTGTCGAGGAAGGACCTGTAATCCCCATCTGTCAACAGAGGAAGGTGATTGGATCATGGGGGTGGTTTCCCCCATGCTGTTCTCATGATAGTGAGTGAGTTCTCATGAGATCTGATGCTTTTATAAGGGGCTCTTCCCCCTTTGCTTTCTCTGTCTCTCCTGCCGCCTTGTGAAGAAGGTGCCTGCTTCCCCTTCCATCATGACTGTAAGTTTCTTGAGGCCTCTCCAGCCATGCAGAACTGTGAGTCAATTAAACGTCTTCCTTTTATAAATTACCCAGTCTCAGGGAAGTTATTTACAGCAGTGTGAAAATGGATTAATATACCAGGCAACTCCACAGACTCTGGGTATCTTCTTCAAGTGTTTCACAAATACAGTTTCCCAATCTTTACAGAACATGAGACTCCAAAAATAACCAAATTCTCACTTCCCCTGCTCACACTCCCCCCAAAAAATCTACTCACCACAAACAAAGCAATCTAATCTGATAGTAGAAAAATCAAAATTAATGAACAGAAAAAAATCTGTTTTGGAGATAAAAACCAGAGAACCACTGGAGAAGATGACATAAACAGTGAAAGATCACAGGATGGCTTTTCATCTTCATAACTCTGCCATTAGTAAACAACACACACTAATATTTTGCTTCTATGAAAATCTCCTGTATAAATTTTCAAGGAAAAATTAGTAATATAAAAATATGAAAAATATAAACTTTTTTTTTTACTTCGAAAGTTTTTAATCTCTTAGACAAGTATAATTACAGCAAGCACTTTTCTACAAGTAACTTTAAGCTAATGGACATATAATGGATAACAATAAGCATCCTAGAGTCAAGTTACCTGGGTTCAAGTGCCAGCTCTGCCACTTAGGTGCTGTGTGACCTTGAGAAAATCCCTTAACCTTTCCCTGCTCAGTTTCCTCCTCTATAAAATGTGGATAATAGCAGCTACCTGAGGGAGTTGTTATAATTAAATACATTAACATATAAAGCATTTAAAACAGTGCCTGACACATAGCAAAATCTAAATAAGTGGTACTTATTATTACAAATGACCAAAAATTAAGTGACAGTAATTGGTACATCTAATCTCACCTAAATGTCTTTTCATTTAATTGATGACTGTTCTCCTCACTAAGGACTTCTTTAATTCTTCCAACAGGTGATAAATTGTTACTAGGTTTAAGAGCCAAAGGATACATATTAAATTTTTTGCAAGACTCAATAAATATGGTTTTATAGCACTAAACACTTCTAACAAGAGTAGGAAAAAAAACATTTCAGGAAAAACGTTTTGTATTAAGAATAGGAAAGTCAACAGATTGATACCATTAATACCAATGGACATAATACTTAAGGCCCAAACCACACCATATTCCACTAGCATTTACTAAGTGTCAATTGTGTGACTGGTGTTTCCAAGATACTGGACATACAAAGAAGACAAGGACTCTATCCTTAAGGGCTCAGGGTGAGTATACAGGCAATACACAATTATGTTATGATGTAAACTATGGTTTGAATGTGTCCCCCGAAGTTCATGTGTTGGGAACTTAATCCCCAATGCAATAGTGTTGAGAGGTGAGAAATTCAAGAGGTGATTAGGGTATGAAGGCTCTGCCCTTCTGAATGGATTAATGACATTAAGGTAGGAATGGGTTACTCATAAAAAGAATAAGTTCAGCCCCTCTTACCCCTTTTAACTTCCACCATGAGATAACACAGCATGAAGGCCCTCACCAGATGCCACCCCTTGACCTTGGACCTCTCAGCCTCCAGAACTATAAAAAAAAAAAAATTCTTTTCCTTATAAATTACTTAATCTGTGGCATTCTGCTATAGCAACATGAAATGGACTAAGACAATGTATTATAACAGAAGTATGAGCAAAGTGCATTACAGGCAAAAGAAGAAATCTGAACAAAGCCAAAGAAGCATGAAACTGCATAGCATATTTGGGGAATGGTAACTCACCTAATATGGCTTCAGCATTCCATCAAGACCTTACATTGCTCTTGTTTTTTCAAACATTAACTACCTGTCATGTGCAAGGCACCAAAGAAACAGACATGTAATCCATAGCCTCTGGGAAGGTAATATCTGTTTCAGGTGCTAATGTATAAATAGAAGTTAGCTGCAAGAACAAAGGAGTAAGAGCATTCTAGGAAGGAGAAATGGCATATGCAAAGGCATTCTGAGAACCAGGAAGAGTTTAACAAGTCTAAATCCACGGGAGGATCCCAAGATAAAGGCAGAGGTGGGATCATTAGATGTTTTGGATGCCAGGCTTTTATAACAAAAGTGACTAGTAATCACTAAAGGATTTAAAATAAGATCATGACCAGATCTGTGTTTTAACAAAGCCCTTCTGATAGAAGGCCAGTAAGGAGTAATCCAGGAGGTAAAAGGGATAAGGAAATAGCATTAGTGATGGTGACAGAAAAAAAGGAAAGAACATATTCAAGAGGGTCTTCGATGAGAAAATTTGGTAAAAGTAAGGAAGAAGGAGATTCCTTGGATGGTGCCTTGAGTTTTTTCCTAATCCCTCTATCCCCCTAGTAGAAACATCTTCTCCTTTGAACCTATTTTATTTCTACGTTAGTGGACTTTTAGGGGGGTACCTATTTATTCATGTCTCCCTCCTCCTACTGGTAAACTCATTATGGGCAGAGACTGTGCCTTATCCCCCTTATATTCTTAGCAGGACCAGAACTAGGGTGAGGAGAGTGAGGCATTCAACTTCAGGTTCATGCTGGTACAAGGTTGAAATCTGTTTCTATTTAAAATTTTCATATTTTGTTCATCACAGACTTTTTGCATACATTTTGATTTTTTAAACATTAAATTAAAATATTGTATATTATTTAATACTTTGGCACACTCTTAAATTTTATACCTGTGGCAAGTACCTCACTTACCCCTAGTCAAAGACCTGATACTCAGTGTCTTCCTGACATAGTACCTAACACAAGCAGGTACTTAAATGCATGTTGAATGAAGGAAAAGCAAACAAGTGGCATAAGCAACAAGATGGATGGTGGTGGGCCTTTTACAGAGACAGTGAATACAGGAAGAGCAAAAGACTCTAGAGGAACATGAGTTTATAATGCATGTCAGAAGCACTGCTTGGTGTATTACAGATTAATTTATTATTCAACACTGGAAGCATGTATAATGGAAATATTAAAGGATGACATTACTCAAGGAATTGTTCTCAAGATATTTCCCCATTCTCTTTTTAAAACTTACACTAATATTTGAGGTATTGCAGCAATATCTAATTTCTTAGTTCAGCTTTTAAGTTAACATTTCTTAGGATGCCAAGATGAGATGCTTGTTACATATATGTACCATTAACACTGCTATGGTATGAATGTTTGTGTTCCCCCAAAATTCATATGTTGAAATCCTAATCCCCAAGATAATGGTATTAAGAGGTGGAACCTTTTGGGAAGTAATCATGTCATGACAGCAAAGCCCTCACGAATGGCATTAGCACCTTTATTATAAAGGCCCCCGAAAAATGACTTGCATCTTCCACTATTTGAGGACACAGCTAGAAAGCACCATTTAAGAATCAGAGAGAGGGCCCTACCAGACACTTCCCAATCTCCAGAAGTCTGAGAAATGAATTGTTTATAAGCCACTCAGTCAATGGTATCTTATTATAGCTGCCCAAATAGACTAAAGACAAACACAGTCTTTGATATGACTTCATCAAACGGCACCCACATCACTCTATTTCTGTATCCTTGCTCACTTTTCTTCATAGCATTTATCACTACTAGATGCAGTATAAGTTAGTTATTTTTCTTCCCCCTTTAAAAAAGATTCACTCCATGAGAACACAGAATTTTTCTGTTTTGTTCATAGTTGTATCCCCAGCACCTAGAATAAATGCCATTGAAGGTCATGACAAAGAGTGCGAGGGTGGCTGGGGGCTGGCTTACACTGGAGCAGAAATAAGACAAAAAAAATAAATTAAACCCTCTGTGGATACAAAACTAGAGCTAGGCGCTCACAAGAATTTAACAGAAAGCCCTAGGAGCCAAAAACAAAGATGCAATTGCAAACCAGAGCAATAAGCTTGGGAGCTTACCTGTAGTCACCTTGGGAAGTAACCAGTGGGCTTGGGTTTAATAGCCTTTGGCCAGATGAGATTCAAATCTCTGGATAAAGCTGATACCCTCAAAGGATTACATACTTGGCTATCACTGGCATACCAGAAGATAAAAGGAAACTTGCATTTCTCAGCCTGGGCTCCGGGAAGAATAAAAAAGTCTCCCTGAGAATTCTTAAATATGACCTAGCCTCCTATCTTTGGGGCTTTAAATTTATACCACCCAGATGGTCTTGGACTCCCAAGCCAAGAAAGTATATAGTGGTTCTGGGTGTGATAGTTATCAATGTATTTTCTCACAGCTCCCAATGCACCCTTCTTTGTCTTGCTTTATATATTGGAGCTGGACCCTACGAGCATTTTCCTTTGACTTCTGGCTCAATGTTAAGCTTCGTCAAAAGGAGGGACAAGGCTGATCAGCCCATTGAAAAAAAGGTAAGTGATTCCAAACAAACTAGTTTTACTTATTAAATATAATAAAACATAAAATATTTGTTTCTGAAAACCTAACAGAAAGTTAATACATAGAATTGTCATCCAATATGAACATTTCCAATGGTAGGGCTGGCCTTAAGTCAAGCTTAATTTTTCATATACTGAAACATTACCCATCTAACATTTGAACAGATTTTTTATCTGATTCTCATCTAACTCAATAGCTGTTATCTTTGAAGATTTATAGCCTCACACCTAAATGGATAGCTTTTAAGTAGTTTTTTAGGCCAGTGGGCCCCAGATTCATTTATCATAAGATTGGTTGCCTATATATCCCATTTCACATTCCAAATATCTTCCCATTTTATAGAATGATAAAGGGTTATATGCATTTTGGATATAGTAAGAATGAAAATCATTGAGAAAAACCTGGGTTGCCAATTTATATATTTAATGCTTATCAGTTAAACTTTAACTTGCTCTATAGTAACTTTAACTTGCTTATATTAGGACTGCAAAGTACAAAACATACTCCAACCCAGATTCTAGCAAGTACCACCTTGCGAAGGTTAATTTTATCTGTCAATTTAAGGTCCCCAGATACTTAGTCAAACATTATTTGGTGAAGGTGTTTAAATCGGTAGACTGAGTAAAGCAGGCTGCCCTCCCTAACATGGTAAGCCTCATCCAATTAGTTGAAAGTCTGGATAGAACAAAAAAGTTGACCTTCTCTTGAATAAGAAAAAATTCTTCCAGCCCAACTGCCTTTAAAATGGGATATCAGTTTTTTCCTGCCTTCTGACTTGAACTGAAACATCAGCTCTTCCTGGGTCTCAGGCCTGCTGGTCTTCAGAATGGAACCACATCGCTGGCTCTCCTGGATCTCCAGCTTGCAGATCTTGCATCCTGCAGGTCTTGGAACTTGTCAGCCTCCATAATCACACAAGCCAATTCCTTATAATAAATGCCTTTATATACATATGCACATATCCTATTGGCTCTGTTTCTCTGGAGAACCCTAATACACACTGCAAATGACCTCTTATTAACTCCTGCTAAAGCATCCCGCCTAAATAGCTACAAATGTTCCAGACCTTTCCCTTTCTCCTCTCATTTCAAAAGGTAAAAGTATTGTGTTTACTATCTTGTCTTCTCATTGTCCCCATTCCCCCATGCTACTACCTTGTGGAAACACATTCCTACCCCACCTCTGTAATTCTGTGGTTAGAACATGAGCTTTGAAATCCTGCCTACCCTCTGGATTACAGTTGTTTGGCTGGATATCCTCCAAGCTGAGCCAATCAGAAGCCATAAATGTAAATTAGATTTTTGAAATTTGTATTTAGAAACTGAAAGAGAGTTGATTGAAGTCCCTCTCTGCCAACAACCATGTGTGGGAGTTAGGCCTAAGAAAATGAAGGAGACACACTGAAACAGAGGTAAAAGCTGAAAGAAAAAAAAATAGCATCCTACTGATACCTAATTCCCTCATTTATACCTGAAGCTTAGCCTCACCCTGTCTTTCCCTGACCCCTTTACAGTAGTCAATAAATTCCCTTTTGGCCTAAACTGGTTTGAATTAGGTTTCAGTCAGTCACAACTAGAGAAGACACAGTAAATTCCTACTGCATGTAAATCATTACAGAAATCTGTGAATTATATTAAAAATAACCAAACTTAGTTATTCAAATGTTTTCTAAAATCTGTTTGCCATAAATTGATATTATTCAAAAATATATATATGTTCCATATTTGTCCTAGAAACATTAACATTGAAGCTACTTAAAATGCAAAGATTGCCTAGGAAGAATGTCTCTTTGCTTGTTTTTACAAGGGACTTATCAAATTAGAAAGCAAAATTAGAAATCATAATGAGTTCCATGTTCTCTGGTGAACACTATGAGGTACCATTAAAAATGTTATATAAACCAGGAGCAGCGGCTCACACCTGTAATACCAGCACTTTGGGAAGCTAAGGCAGGAGGATCACTTGGGCCCAGGAGTTTGAGACTGCAGTGACTTATGATGGCACCACTGCACTCTAGCCTGGGCAACACAGTGATACCCCATCTCTTTAAAAGAAAAAAAAGAAGAAGAAACAAGAATATGCTGCTTTAAGTTTGTACTATTTTTATAAATTAATTTTAATTTTAAAAAACACTTTAACTGCTATATAAAAATAATACTATAACTAAAAATATTGTAATCTGAATCTTTAAGGAAAACCATACAAATTTACTAAATGAGGTTATCATTACCAAATATCTTCTTGGCACTTTTAAGTTTTAAATTGAGTGTTTTCTTAGCTGGTTGAAGGCTGAAATTCATTATCTTCTTATAGAACTCTTGTTATATAGAAAACACTTAATTATGAAGTAGTTATTCATACACATGAAAGATAAACTGGTCCTGAATTTCCTCCTCAATAATATAAATGTTATCCTAAGAAACAGGAAAAAAATGGTGGCTTGGGTAATTAAAATTCAGAGATAAACACAATCTTCAGTACCCAAATTCAATTGAATTCAAAGTCTTCAACCACCTATTATTTTATTTTATTTTATTTTTTTTTTTTTTTTTTGAGACGGAGTCTCGCTCTGTCGCCCAGGCCGGACTGCGGACTGCAGTGGCGCAATCTCGGCTCACTGCAAGCTCCGCTTCCCGGGTTCACGCCATTCTCCTGCCTCAGCCTCCCGAGTAGCTGGGACTACAGGCGCCCGCCACCGCGCCCGGCTAATTTTTTGTATTTTTAGTAGAGACGGGGTTTCACCTTGTTAGCCAGGATGGTCTCGATCTCCTGACCTCATGATCCACCCGCCTCGGCCTCCCAAAGTGCTGGGATTACAGGCGTGAGCCACCGCGCCTGGCCTCACCTATTATTTTATAAAGCTGCTGACAAATATTAAAGTTTTAATAGTTGTTTTCTCTAATTTGATTGCCCTTATAGATTTTCCTGAATGATGTGCTAAGTAGCATAATTGTGAATAAGCAGAAAGTAAGAGAGAATATAAAAAGCTAACACACATATACACTTCAAAAACAAACTTGATGAGAACTTAGTCACAAAGGGTATAAACCCTCTCAGGATCGTAACTCCAGGTGACTTTTCTTTTTCACTCTTACTAATTTTACCAACTACGAAAGGGAATCAGATAATCCTAGAATAGGTAAGAGAGGAAAAGCAGGCTTGGAAGTGATCAACAGACTCTATATAAGGCCACTAAAGGAACTAGGGAGTGATAAGTAAACTAGTTAGTAGAAGTATTAATAAAAATTTCAGGCCCCAGAATCATGCTCACAGATTGGAAAGGTTAGATTTTTCTGTTGCTTTAATATTATACAATTGCAGGAAATATTATAAGCTTCATTTGTCCAACAGCATCATGAGAACAGGTAATGAATACAATATTTCAGGTTCAGCTCACAGAACTAATTTTCATAAATTCTTATATAAGTGAAAAACCTCTTATCCTATTGCAATGTTCTCAATCTCATTGCCATTAAGACTCTTCACACAATAACCACTCAGTTAAGAGAATGACAGAGGGATTTTTTTTCATGTGTTTTTTGGCTGCATAAATGTCTTCTTTTGAGAAGTGTCTGTTCATATCCTTCGCCCACTTGTTGATGGGGTGGTTTGTTTTGTTCTTGTAAATTTGTTTGAGTTCATTGTAGATTCTGGATATTAGCCCTTTGTCAGATGAGTAGGTTGCAAAAATTTTCTCCCATTCTGTAGGTTGCCTGTTCACTCTGATGGTAGTTTCTTTTGCTGTGCAGAAGCTTTTTAGTTTAATTAGGTCCCATTTGTCAATTTTGGCTTTTGTTGCCATTGCTTTTGGTGTTTTAGACATGAAGTCCTTGCCCATGCCTATGTTCTGAATGGTATTGCCTAGGTTTTCTTCTAGGGTTTTTATGGTTTTAGGTCTAACATTTAAGTCTTTAATCCATCTTGAATTAATTTTTGTATAAGGTGTAAGGAAGGGATCCAGTTTCAGCCTTCTACATGTGGCTAGCCAGTTTTCCCAACACCATTTATTAAAAAGGGAATCCTTTCCCCATTGCTTGTTTTTCTCAGGTTTGTCAAAGATCAGATAGTTGCAGATATGCGGCATTATTTCTGAGGGCTCTGTTCTGTTCCATTGGTCTATATCTCTGTTTTGGTACCAGTACCATGCTGTTTTGGTTACTGTAGCCTTGTAGTATAGTTTGAAGTCAGGTAGCATGATGCCTCCAGCTTTGTTCTTTTGGCTTAGGATTGACTTGGCAATGCAGGCTCTTTTTTGGTTCCACATGAACTTTAAAGTAGTTTTTTCCAATTCTGTGAAGAAAGTCATTGGTAGCTTGATGGGGATGGCATTGAATCTATAAATTACCTGGGGCCGTATGGCCATTTTCACAATATTGATTCTTCCTACCCATGAGCATGGAATGTTCTTCCATTTGTTTGTATCCTCTTTTATTTCGTTGAGCAGTGGTTTGTAGTTCTCCTTGAAGAAGTCCTTCACATCCCTTGTAAGTTGGATTCCTAGGTATTTTATTCTCTTTGAAGCAATTGTGAATGGGAGTTCACTCATGATTTGGCTCTCTGTTTGTCTGTTATTGGTGTATAAGAATGCTTGTGATTTTTGTACATTGATTTTGTATACTGAGACTTTGCTGAAGTTGCTTATCAGCTTGAGGAGATTTTGGGCTGAGACAATGGGGTTTTCTAGATATACAATCATGTCATCTGCAAACAGGGACAATTTGACTTCTTCTTTTCCTAATCGAATATCCTCTATTTCCTTCTCCTGCCTGATTGCCCTGGCCAGAACTTCCAACACTATGTTGAACAGGAGTGGTGAGAGAGGGCATCCCTGTCTTGTGCCCGTTTTCAAAGGGAATGCTTCATCATCACTGGCCATCAGAGAAATGCAAATCAAAACCACAATGAGATACCATCTCACACCAGTTAGAATGGCGATCATTAAAAAGTCAGGAAACAACAGGTGCCGGAAAGGATGTGGAGAAATAGGAATACTTTTACACTGTTGGTGGGACTGTAAACTAGTTCAACCATTGTGGAAGTCAGTGTGGTGATTCCTCAGGGATCTAGAACTAGAAGTACCATTTGACCCAGCCATCCCATTACTGGGTATATACCCAAAGGATTACAAATCATGCTGCTATAAAGACACATGCGAAGGTATGTTTATAGCGGCACTATTCACAATAGCAAAGACTTGGAACCAACCCAAATGTCCAACAATGATAGACTGGATTAAGAAAATGTGGCACACATACACCATGGAATACTATGCAGCCATAAAAATGATGAGTTCATGTCCTTTGTAGGGACATGGATGAAACTGGAAACCATCATTCTCAGCAAACTATCACAAGGACAAAAAACCGAACACTGCATGTTCTCACTCATAGGTGGAATTGAACAATGAGAACACACGGACACAGGAAGGGGAACATCACACACCAGGGACTGTTGTGGGGTCGGGGGAGAGGGGAGGGATAGCATTAGGAGATATACCTAATGCTAAATGATGAGTTAATGGTTGCAGCACACCAACGTGGCACATGTATACATATGTAACAAACCTGCACGTTGTGCACATGTACCCTAAAACTTAAAGTATAATAATAATAAAATTTAAAAAAAAAGAGAATGACAGAGGGATTACCAAAACAGAAAGGGTACACATGCTGATAGTAATATCCAATTCACAAATATTCCTCTACGCAGTTCTAACCCAGGAAATATGTCTTGTAATTATGAAACTTTGATATTTTCTGCTATATAGAAGCATTCATTCTAAACAGTGAAATATTCTAAAAAGTTTTGAGTCTATATTAAGGAGAACATTTTAATTAATGTGTCTATCAAAATAAAATTAGAGTTAATATAAGCAACATCAATGAAAGGTTTGTGGAAAAGAATGTTTTATTTTTATGGGTACATAGTGTATGTATTTATGGGGTACATGAGAAATTTTGATACAGAAATACAGTGTGTAATAATCACATCAGGGTAAACAGGGTATCCATCACCTCAAGCATTTATTTCTTTGTGTTACAAACATTCCAATTATACTCTAGTTATTTTAAAATATATAATAAATTAATGTTGACTGTAGTCACCCTGTTGTGCTATCAAATGCTAGGTCTTATTCATTCCCTCTAATTATATTTTTGTACCCATTAACCATCCCCACTGCCCTACTCCCCTTCCCAGCCTCTGGTAACCATCATCCTACTCTCTTATATTCATGAGTTCAATTGTTTTCATTTTTAGCTTCAGCAAATGAGTGAGAACATGCAAAGTTTCTCTTTCTGTGCCTGGCTTATTTCACTTGACATAACGTCTTCCAATTCCATCCATGTTGTTGCAAATTACAGGATCTCATTATTTACAATTGAATAATACTACATTGTGTATACGTGACACATTTTCTTCATCTATTTGTCTGTTGATGGACACTTAGGTTGATTCCAAATTTTGGCTATTGGGAATAGTGCTGCAATAAACATGGGGGTGTAAATATGTCTTTGATATATTGATTTCTTTTCTTTTGGGCATATACTTAGCAATGGGATTGCTGGATCATATGGTATTTCTCTATATTTCTAGTTGTTTGAGGAACCTCCATACTGTTCTCCATAGTGGCTCTACTAATTTACATTCCCACCAACAGCATACAAATGTTCCCTTTTCTCCACATCTTCTACAGCATTCATTATTGCCTGTCTTTTGGAGGTAAGCCATTGTAACTGGGGTGAAATGATATCTCCTTGTAGTTTTGATTTGCATTTCTCTGATGATCAGTGATGTTGAACATCTTTTCATATGCCTGTCTGCCATTTGTATGTCTTCTTTTGATAAATGTCTTTTCAAATATTTTGCCAATATTTTAATTGAATTACTAGATTTTTTTCCCATAGAGTTGTTTGAGCTCCTTATATATTCTGGTTATTAATCCCTTGTCAGATGGATAGTTTGCAAATATTTTCTCTCATTCTGTGGATTGTCTCTTCATTGTTTCCTTTACTGTGCAGAAGCTTTTTAACTTGATGTGATCCCATTTGTCCATGTTTGCTTTGGTTGCCTGTGCTTGTGAGGTATTACTCAAGAAATCTTTGCCCAGTCCAATGTCCTGAAGAGTTTCTACAAAATTTTCTTGTACCAATTTCATAGTCTGGGGTCTTAAAGTCTTTAATCCATTCTGATTTGATTTTTTTAGATGGCAAGAGATAGGGGTCCAGTTTCATTCTTGTGCATATGGATATCAAGTTTTCCCAGCACCATTTACTGAAGAGACTGTCTTTTTCCCCAATGTACGTTCTGGCACCTTTGTCAAAAATGAGTTCACTGTAGGTGTGTGGATTTGTTTCTGGGTTCTCTATTCTGTTCCATTGGTCTGTGTCTGTTTTTATGCCAGTACTGTGCTGTGTTGGTCACTATAGCTCTGTAGTATAATTTGAATTCAGATAATGTGATTCCTCCGGTTTTGTTCATTTTGCTTGGGATGGCTTTGTCTATTTTGGGTCCTTTGTGGTTCCATATAAATTTTAGGATTATTTTTTATGTTTCTGTGAAGAATATCACTGGTATTTTGATAGGGATTACATTGAATCTGTAGACTGCTTTGGGTAGTATGGACATTTTGACAATAGTGATTCTTCCAATCCATGAACATGAAATATTTTTCCATTTTTCCATGTCCTCTTCAATTTCTTGCATCAGTGTTGTATAGTTTTCACTGTAGAAATCTTTCACATCTTTGGTTAAGTTTATTCCTGGGTATTTTTTTATGAGATTACTTTCTTGATTTCTTTTTAAGACTGTTCACCCTGGCATATAGAACACTACTGATTTTTTATGTTGGTTTTGTATTCTGCAACTTTACTGAATGTGTTTATCAGTTCTAATAGTTTTTTGGTGGGGGCTTCAGGTTTTTCTAAATATAAGACTATATCATCTGCAAACAAGGATAATTTGACTTCTTCCTTTCCATTTTGGATGCTCTTTCTTTCTTTCTCTTGTCTGATTGCTTAGCTGGGACTTGCAGTACCATGTTGAATAACAGTAGTGAAAGGAAGCATCTTTGTCTTGTTCTAGATTTTATGGGAAAGGTTTTCCATTTTTCCCCATTCAGTAAGATACTAGCTGTGGGTCTGTTGTATATTGCTTTTACTGTGTTCAAGTATGTTCCTTCTATTCCAAGTGTTTTGAGGGTTTTATCATGAAGGGATGTTGAATTTTATCAAATGTTTTTTCAGTATCAAATGAAATGATCATATAGTTTTTCTCAGTATCTAATGAAATGATCATATAGTTTTTGTCCTTCATTCTGTTGATATGATGTATCACAGTGATTGATCTGTGCATGTTGAACCATCCTTACCTCCCTGGGATAAATCCCACTTGGTCATGATAAATGATCTTTTTGATGTGTTGTTAGATTTGGCTTGCTAGTGTTTTGTTGAGGATTTCTGCATCAATGTTCATCAGTAATACTGGCCTGTAGTTTTCTTTTTTTGATGTATCTTTGTCTGGTTTTGGTATCAAGGTAATACTGACCTTGCAGAATGAACCTGGAAGGAGAAACTACTTCCATTTTTCAGAATAGTTTGAGTAGAGCTGGTATTAATTTTTCTTTAAATGTTTGGTAAAATTTAGCAGTGAAGTCATTGGATCCTCGGCTTCTCTTTGCTGGGAGACTTTTTATTACAGCTCAGTCTTGTCAGTTGTTATTGGTCTGTTCAAGTTTTGGATTTCTTCATGGTTAAATCTTGGTAGGGTATGTGATTAGGAATTTATCCATTTCTTCTAACTATTCCAATTTTTTTGGTATATAGCTGCTCACACTAGTCTCTAATGATCTTTTGAATTTCTGCAGTATACATCATAATGTCTGTTTTTTCATCTCTGATTTTACTGGATCTTCTCTTTTTCTTAGTCTGGCTAAAGGTTTCCCAATTTTGTTTATCTTTCGAAAACCAACTTGGTGAAAAAGATTAAATTCAGTAGGTCTTAAATACTTTGGTACTTTAGGAGATTAATACAAAAAAGAAAAAAAGACATGGATTCTTCAAACATCTCACAATGAAGAGAGGATAAACACATTAATTTTGTATATAAAGGAGGGAGGAGATATGTACATAAATGCTTGTCTAAGTATAGAATCTCTACAGAAGGATATGTGAAAACCAAAAAGAATGATTGCCTTTGGGTCAGAGGACTGGGGGACTGGTGATCTGGGATAAGAGCACTTAATTTTCATTATATACTATTTCCCACTGTTGGAATATTTGAATGTATATACAGTCCTTTCTATTCCGATAAATAAATTAAAAAGCATAAACCATATATAAAATAACTTTTACAAAACAAAGTTAAACGTAAGAGATATAAATTACACTTGATATTCAAAGGATAGAAAGATCCTATTCACCTACAGAAGCAGAGTAAGTACCAATAAGGGGGTGGTCCATGAGATGGATGGGTAGAATAGATATATAACAAAAATCATTCCAGGGAAGAGAACACCTGACTATAGCCACAAAGTTGGGAAGGGATGGGGCGTGTTTAGAAAAGTGATAGTTTAGAAGCTTAGGCTGCATATAAGGATGTGTTCTTTTTCTGTAGATGCCTGACAAAAAAAAAAAAAAACTATACAGTTAGCATCTTAAAGAACGCACATTTACCATCTCACAGGTTTTGTGGTCAGGAGTCTGAATTAGCTAGGTCCTCTACACAGGGTCTCACAGGCTGAAATCAAAATGTCCACCAAGACTATGGTTTCCTCTTAAGCATAGGGCCCTCTTTTAACATCACTGGTTGCTGACATAATTCATTTCCCTGCAGTTTTAAGACAGACACTCACCCATTTTCTTGCTGTCAGTCAGGAGCCACTCTCAACTTCTAGATGCCACCAGCGATTCCCTGCCTAGTAGTCCCTCAATAAGCCCTCTAATGCTCCCAAGATTTGAATCTTTCTAACTTCAGAGAAAACCCAATCCCTTTTAAAGGCTCACTTGATTAGATCAGGCCCACCCAGATAATGGCCCTCTTAACTGACTTAAAGTCAACTGATTAGTGACCTCATCACAAGTGACTCTACAGGATGTGTACCCTATAGGATGACGTATTAGTCCATTCTCACATTGCTATAAGGAAATACCTGACACTGGATAATTTATAAAGAAAAGAAGTTTAATTGACTCACAGTTCCGCATGGCTGAGGCCTCAGGAAACTTACAATCATGGCAGAAGGCACCTCCTCACAGGGCAGCAGGAGAAAGAATGAGTGCAAGCAGGGGAAATGCCAGATGTTTATAAAATGATCAGATTTTGCGAGACTCACTATCACAAGAACAGCATGGGGGAAACCAACCCCATGATCTGATTACCTCCACCTGGTCCTGCCCTGGATGTATGGGGATTATGAGGATTACAATCCAAGGTGAGATTTGGGTGGGGACATGGAGCCAAACCATATCAGGTGAGAATCTTGGGAGCCATCCTAGAATTCTGCCAAGCATAGCTGGTAACAGAAGATGAGAACAAAAATTCTCAAAAGCTAAGCCAAAATTAAATAGTTTTCCATCCTATATTTCTGTCTCCAAACGTTATGCTACTTGTAAAATACACAGGGATAATTAGGCCAGGCACAGTGGCTCACACCTGTAATCCCAGCACTTTGGGAGGTCAAGATGGGAGGATCACTTGAGGCCAGGAGTTCAGGACCAGCCTGGCCAATATGGCAAGACCCCATCTCTTAAAAAAATGGATAATTACAGTTGCAACTGAGAAACCTCCCATATTTGGTAACTGTCTACTCTTTGGCTATTTGTGGTACTCATTTATTATAAGGCCTATGTTACTGACTGGGAATATCTACTTCTCCCTTCGCAGTCTTTTATTCAATATAAACCATTCCTACCTCTGTTTGCTGTACTCTTGGCTGCCTTGTCTGTTACTGTTAGATTAATATTTAACTTACTAAGGTCCTCCTCACTCCACAAAGACCTAGCCTCTTTATTACTTTTTTCCCGCTATTTTCAGCCATTACTTTTGTGACCTTGCATAAATTCACACTAGAAAAGTGTAAGTATTCAATGGTTATATAGCTTCCAACTTTGTTTTTGCAGTTTTATAACCTTATTTGATGTATTCAATGATCAGTAGTTTGTTCTCATCTACACTGAATGACTATAGATTTTTTAAAGTGGAAACAGGTACATAGGTAACCAAAGTATACAGCTTGCTTGGGAACCTTCATCCTCATTATGTTTCTGGACAACCACATATGGATACAGTATGGGACATCCCTTAACCTTAGGCCTAGTCAGCTTTGTTGAACCTGTTATCAATACGCACATCTGGAGTTCCCATCTCCTTCATGATGGCAAATTTCTGGATCTCTCTGAGTGCCCCAGGGGCATGCTTCTTGAAGCCCACTCATGGATGTGCTTCTGAGTGTTGATGGTGTATTCTTGTGTCACCACCTCATTGACAGCAGGAGAGCCCTTCTTCTTCCCACCCTTCTCTGCAGGGGCCATTCTGCCAGGCCAAAGTTGGAAAGTAACCTCCATCTTAACTACCCAAGAAAGAAGAAAAACAAACAGCATAGCTTTGGTGTAAGCAAAATGTCAATTCTACAGCTACATGGTCAATAAGTATACACATAATTAATATTTCTACAATGTTGAATATGATTATTTAGGAAAACAAGTCTCAGAGTTAGAAATACCCACTTCTCCTTTGATCTGGCAGCTTATATTCTTCTCACAGACAAAAATCAAAAGCCCTTGATAATTTTGCCTGCTGATTGGGAGGCAATGCTGATAGACAAAGAAGTAGAACACTATGAAAAGAAGGCCTCCTGATACAGTTGCTAGTCTTTCCTGACAACGTGGCATATGGTTCCAAATCTTCAAACAGCTATCATATTGCTACACTGATTTAACAAGGTGATCTGTATTCTCCCAAATTAAATACATGTAGAGCACTAGGATACCTTCTTCTGAGAAAAGGGGTATTTATTTTCTTTCTTTGATACTAGATTTATAGCATAACAGTTAAGCCTGCAAGTACCAACTGAGTTTCTACTAAGTGTAACACATTGTCTAGTAGGTGGGTGATGGTAGCAAAGAGAAGATACATGATAAATCAGTCATGAATCCTGCCCTCAAGTTATATATAATAAGTGAAAAGAAAATCCTGGGAGCAGAATCGACCCAATTTTCCTTTCTCTTCTGATGTCAGGTGGGCTCTGAACACAATCCTCATAATCCCCATTTCCTAGTTTCCATGCACCATTGTGATCCCTCCCCTTGAGTATGGGCAGGACCTGTGGCTTGTTTCTAGTCAAAAGAATAAGCAAAGGTGACACGACAGATGGGATACATGTACATGACTATGTGATTATGTTACACAAACTTGTCATACCCATTTTGTTGGAGTCTCTGTCTTTTACCGGCTTTAAGGAAGCAAGTGGCCATATGGCCAGGAACTGCAGGACGATTCTAGTTGCTGAAGCTGGCTCTGGACTGATAGCCAGCAAGAAATTGAAACCCTCAGTCCTACAACCACAGGAATTAAATTCTGCCAACAGCTGAAATGAGCTTGAAAACATCTCCTTCCCTAATTGAGCCCCAGTTGAGAACTAAGTACTGGCAAATATGTTGATTGAAGCTTTGTGAGACCTTGAGCAGAGGATTCAAGTCAGCTGTGCCCTGACTCCTGGCCCCAAAAACTATGAGACAACAAGTACACATTGCTTTAAGCCACTAAGTTTATGATAATATTGTTATACAACAATAGATGACTAACACATCTTTCTTCTTATATTATTCAAGTTGCTAACATATCATAAGAGGTAAACTCAAGTATTCTGAACATCCAGTCACCACTGGTGACATGAAATCCCCAGCCCACATGCTAGAGAAAACCAGAGTTGGTCACACAGCCAGACCCTTTTGTAAGATTCAAGCGGCAATTTGCCACCAATATTGCCAAAATAGCCAGTATGGCTGCCCAATTAACAGATCAAAAACTAAAGATCAGCTGCTAATTCCTGCCTTGTACATTCTCAGAGAGTAAGGACCTTCCATTTCCCGACTAAATGCTCAGAATGAGCCATCAGGCCTGTTAGGTAAAAATGAGAAATTTGAAGGATCAAGCGGCCCCGCAGACGCTGGTAGAGAGGGCAAGCTTAAGGTGTAGAAGAAAACTGTCATTCCCACTTAATCCAAAAAAGTAAAAATATATGCCTCCTATTTTCTTTCAGATATAATAACCACCTTTTCTTAAACAATAGCTTATTTGGGGGCCTGCATTCATTACAAACAAACCAGAGTAGGCTTATATATCATCTGAAGGTTCTTTTTTAAAAAATTTCTTTTGAGACAGGGTCTTGCTCTGTCACCTAGACTGGAGTGCAGTGGCACAATCATAACTCACTGCAGCCTCGACCTACTGGGCTCAAGGAATTCTTCTGCCTCAGCCCCTGAGTATCTAGGACTACAGGTGACTGTGACCACAGCCAGGTACTTTTCTATTTTTTGTAGAGATGGGATCTCACTGTGTTTCCCAGGCTGGTCTCAAACTCCTGGGCTCAAGCAATCCTCCCACCTCAGCCTCCCAAAGTGCTGGGATTACAGGTGTGAGCCACCATGCCCAGCTAATTTTTATTTTTTCTTTTTTGTAGAGACAGGGGTCTCACTATGTTGACCAGAATAGTCTTGAACTCCTGGAGGATAGTAATCCTCCTGCCCCAGCCTTCGAAAGTGCTGGGATTACAAGTGTGAGCCACTGTGCCCGGCCACATGAAGGTTCTTTCCATTGTTCTTCCAGAAGTCTCATCATCACAGGCTCATTGTAGTATAAATATTTTCACATAAGGAATGAAAGTGATGTGTTAGCATGATCTTATCAGGATCAAGGTAACTAAAAACAAATGACAAGGTTTCTCTTTTTATTATTCAACATTGAGAAGCAGAAAAGTGTTCAACTGTTACTGTATTTATTTAATGCTCACCTTTTAAAGAGTAAATTCAGTTAGTTACGTGTTATAAAATGTGAGATAAGACATAATCCTAGAGTAATGAAATTTTCTCCTTTGTAAAAGGAGATTCACTATAATTTTTCATGTAAAGGGAACATGAAACCAATAACCTAGTTCCAAATGGACAGCTAATAAAATTAAGTTTGCACATTTAAGAGAAAGTTATTTTAATTTCCTTTAATTGTATACAATGTTAAAAAGGCTTTTTGCAAATCATTAACAGTTAAGACGTACTTTCATTGACAATTTAGGTAGACAAAATATTCAATGTTGTGTGACAAAATCATTCTTATAACATTAGTAAATGCATAAGCACATTTCCAAAAATTGCAAGAAATAAAAGCCAAATAATTGGAAAGAATACACATTTACTCTAAGTAAAGCTTGATTATACGCCCAGAGATGAGCATGCAAAGTATAGCCTAATCTATACTCCCACAATGCCTCAAGGTATCTCTGAGTGCCCTGTTTGTGAACATCTGGGTCAGTTCTATGGCTGACACCACAATGTCCTAAATAGGGCATGACAATAAATGAAATGTACAATAATGTAAAGCAGTATAACCTCTAGATACAATAAGGCACTAAATGTAACAACGTTAAAAATCAGCAATATAGAAGCTAATAATAAAACAAAACAAAAACATTTATGGGGGTTTCAGGGGGAAAAAAACTAGGCAGAGTAAATGAAAGATAATCTGTAGGTTACCTCTATTCGCTCCTATCAGGGGCAAGATTCACATCCTGGTCTCTCCCCTGCTAATACCTGATGAATCAAACTGATGAACATACAGCCAATCAACGAAGCCAAAAAAAATGATACTTAAAATAAATACCTGAAAAGATGGATCCCACATTACATCTTACTTAACGCTTCCAACTTGCTATGAGAAAGATACTAAGATACGCAAAGTTGAAAGTGATTCAAATTCCACACTAACAATTTAAATGCCTTGTAAGAGAAAGAATATTCACACATAATAATACAAAGCAAAGCATGAGATGAGTCATGAGAAGATACAAGTAAAGTGGGACCAGAGCTTAGAGGGTGAAAGACGACTTCTAGCTAAGATAAGGAAGGGCATCACAGAGGAAGGGGCATTTAAGTTAGATTTTAAAAGATAGAATTTGAAAATACAGACTATAGTAGCCTTCATTTCAATCAAAAGCAGCAGCATATGCCTTCATAACTGCAATGAAATATTATGTACGTAATTATTGAATGTCTCTCTTCCTCAATAGATGTCAAGTTCTGAGAGGGCTGAGACTATACTTTTTCAATGGTCTCCTTAGTACCTAGCAGAATATCTGGTATGTCACAGATGTTCAACAAATATTTATTAAAGGAATAAATAAACAGAGGCAGGAATATAGAGGACAAATCGCTCAATTTGCCTAGTAAATATAGAAGACAGGGACATGAAGAACAAAAGATCACTTAAGGTGAAATGACAGAAGACCTTGAAAAGTCAAACTGAAGAATGTTTATTTGGTTGGAAATAAGGAGTCACTGAAGATCTTTATGGAATGTAGTGACATAACTAGATCTGTGCTTTCAAAAGTATATCTAAAAGTAATGTACATGGCAGACTACAAAAAAGATAAAATGAAGAAGTCAAGAGATCATTATAGGAGTCTAGATCAAAGATAACAAGGACCTGAAGTAGAATAAAGGCAGTGGGAATAGAAAGTTAAAAAAAAAAATAACGACAGGGATATTAAACAGATAAAATCAATAGAACAATCAGTTAGTTATCCATTCCACAAACATCTTTTGAGCAACTACTACATATCTACCAGACACTGCCAGGAGCTGGAGACAGGAAAAATAAAATAAGCTGTAGTCCTTCACCTCAGAGTTGAGAGTCAATCTGTCATCTCAATAAGAAAAACTGATTGAAAACTGATCTCCTAGCTAAGATAAGGAAAGGCATCATAGAGGAAGGAGCATTTAAGTTGAATTTTAAAAGACAGTTTGAAAATGTAGAATATGGTAGACTTTATTTCAGCCCTTTCAGAATAACACAATAAATGAAGAAAGGGAGAAGTCAATGCCTCTCTTAAATTTTGAGAACAGAAACTAAGAGGATGGCATCACCATGCAGAGAATGGAAGAACAAAACAGAAGAAGGTGGACAGGGAGGACGGTATGGACAGATTCTGACACACTGTCTTTGTGTGGAATACGCAAGTGAAAATGTTCCTGAATTAGTTGCAAATTCAGAACTGGAGGACAGAGCACAGATTAGGGCTTATGATTTGAAAGGCATCTAGCATAAATATGAGAGCTGAAATTGAGAGCAGACAAGGTAAGAAAGGGTGAAACATGTAGAACCTTGGAGATGATCCATATTTAACGAGATGAGAGAAGGCAAAGGGAAGAATTAAGAGAAAATTATCAGAAAATCAAACCAAGCCAAACCAGGAAAGAGGAGAGCAATCAGAGGCAAAAGGATCATCAGGACAACAATAAGTGTTTCCAGAAGCATGGACCATCAACAGCATTATTTGCAACAGAGAAATCACGGAAAATTAGGACTGACAAAAAGGCCACTGGATTTGGGAATAAAAGAAATGTATTAGTGATATTTGAGAGAGCAGCAGAGTGATAAGGGAAAACTCAGTTTGCAAGGAGTTAAGGTATCAGTGAATGGTGAGGCAGTGGAGATAGCTGGAACAAACTGCTCTCTTGAAGTCTGAAAATGAAGGAAAAGAAAATGATGGAACAATAGCTTGAGGGACAACAGAAGGAAGAAAAAAATTTAGGCTAAGGAAAGATTATATGAGTATGTCTTTTGTTGGAGAAAAAGTGGACAAAAAAAGCAACATTTTTTTTAGAACAGGAAAGAGCAGAGATAGAAGATCCAGTAAAGGCATAAATCAAAGATGCATAAAATACTTGATGTATTCATTCAATAAGTATTTATTGAATGCCCACCATAAACTCAAAACTGGAGAATATACACCGGAGAACAAGCTAGGTAGGATCCCAAGCTCATGGAGCTTGTATGTCTAAGCTTCCAGAGGAAAAGGAAGAATACAGTGGACAGGGTAGAATGCCTTTATTCTACCCTGTTGTTGCAGAACAGCCACAGAGTTTGGATGGAATTAATTCCACTGCTACCAATGGTCTCAGAAATCAGCATCATCTTATCTGTGTTATCAGGGTATTTGATTCACGAATGACCACACAACCTAAGTTGGTCCTATCAGAATGAAACCTGGGACTTTGATTAAATGGAAAAGAGGACAATCCTGATCGACAAAATGTGCTGAGGTGAGGTCGGGAACTGTTGCATACATTTTGCTACCTGAAAGAAGCCCACTTGTGCTGAAGGCAACATAGAGGAGGATTGAGCTGAGAGAATTATGGCTGTAAAAAATGAAACTCTGATCAAACCACATCTGAAACCCATCCTTTCTTTGGACTTTTCAGTTACATGATCCAAAACATCTCTTTCTTTGTTTAAGGCCATTTAAGCCGAGCTTTTTGATAATTTCAAGTAAAACCATCCTAATTACAAATTAGATGTCACTGTAGGCACAAGTAAAACGGTTATAAAACTGCAGCACAAAATAAGACCTGCCCAGTGCAGATACCAGAGACTGTGCCCTTTCTCCACTCTTCTGGCTTTAGCTGTCTGTATTAGTCAGTTCTCACGCTGCTAATAAAGATATACACAACACTGGGTAATTTATAAAGGAAAGAGGTTTAACTGACTCTCAGTTCCACATGGCTGGGGAGGACTCACAATCATGGCAGAAGGCAAAGGAGGAGCAAAGTCATGTCCTGCATGGCAGCAGGCAAGAGAAAACTTGTGTAAGAGAACTCCCCTTTATAAAACCAGATCTCGTGAGACTTACTCACTATCATGAGAACAGTATGGGAAAGACCCACCCCCATGATTCAATTACCCCCCACCAGGTCCCTGCCACAACATGCGGGGATTATGGAAGCTACAGTTCAAGATTTGGGTGGGGACACAGCTGAAACATATCACTGTTCATGGTTCTAAGCTTTGAAACTACAACTCATTCTCTTTTTTTTAAATTATACTTTAAGTTCTGGGATACATGTGCAGAACATGCAGGTTACATAGGTATACATATGCCATGGTGGTTTGCTGCACCCATCAACCCATCATCTACATTAGGTATTTCTCCTAATGCTATCCCTCCCCTAGCCCCCACCCCGCGACAGGCCCCAGTGTGTGATGTTCCCCTCCCTGTGCCCATATGTTCTCATTGTTCAACTCCTGCTCCTTCTCCTATAAATCCTTTCCCCACTCCTCCACCCAAGGTTATTTTCTCTTCATCAGCCCCTAAACTTCAAGAGATCTTAGCAGCCTGGGAGCATAAGGGCACTCTTCCTCTCAGCAGCATCCAAATTTACCCCATCTTCATGCTCCAGAATTAAGTGAGAGGGGCCTATGACTTGAGCAACAGTCACCAATAAGGGAATTCTTGGGCCTAGGCCCAGCGAATATCCTTTCTGCAAGTTTGCCCCTGTGGCTGTATCAACCCTGAGTTTCCATCTTTTCGTATCAATCTGGCTGACTTCTCTTCCTTTGAAACTAGACTCACAGTGCATCTCCTCCTGGAAGGCCTCCTTCCCAGTGGCCCTTGGCCGTCAGATGCTGCTCCTCAGGGTTCCCATGAAAATCAATACTCACCTCCTCCTAGCCACACAGACATGGAAGGACAGAGCTAGATACAATGTGATGTTGTTCTTACTGGGACAAGGATTACACTTTATTTTATTTGTGTATAACCTACATGTGTGGGGGAAATGAATGTCACTTGTAATGTGGAGGAATGGGTGCTGGACTCGCAGGCAAAACACAAGACTTCCAGGCATGAGGGGATTTCTTACAAGTTGCAGGACCTCTCCAAGATTCTTAATCTATAAGGACTTTATCACTGGGTTGTTGTGAGATTAAGAAGCATACTGAATCTGAAAAGTATTGTAGTCCTTTGAGAATGATACCTAGAAATATTTTTGTTGGATATTATGAATGTTCAGAGGAGGCAAGAGATGCCTTCTTGCTAGGGATTGCTAGGGAAAAACTGGAGACATAGATAAGTGAAAAACTCAAGAAGAAGCTGGCCTTTAAGCTGACTTTGGAGAATGTGTAAGATTTAGACATGCTGAAATGGGGATGGGGAGAGGTAGCCAGGTGAAGGAAGCCAAAAGCTGAGAAGCCAGCATCAACTTAGCAGCTAATTTTACTAAGCAAATATGTGCCAACCACTCTTCTAAGTGCCAGGGTTACAACAGTGAAAAATTCAGAGGAGGCCCCTACCCTAAGAGGGTTTACATTCCAGTTGGGAAAGACAGACAATAAACAAAGACAAAGATATGAAATGATTTCTGTTAGAGGTAAGTGATGTGAAGGTGATGTGCTATGGGGACTGGAGGGGAAACATTCCAGGTAAGGTAGTAAAGGCCATTCTGAGGTGATGACATTTAACCTGGGAAGAAAGTGATAAAATAGAGTGGAGCTGAGGAAGAATATGCCAAAGGAAATACCAGGTGCAAAGGCCCTGAAGTAGGAACAAGCTTGGCGTGTTTGTAAAACCAGAAAAAAAAAAAAAAAGCCAATGTGGCTACAGCAAAGTGGACAAAAACAAAAGTAGTATGAGATTAAGGCTGAGGTTATATCTAAGTAACAGCACGGTGTCAGTTTAGATTGAAGTTTGTAGTAGTAGATGATCCTTGAAAACAAATTTGGGCTAGAATTAGAAAATCTCAGACACCAAATTAAGGTGGATATATTTCATTCTTCAAAAGCAATTGTCTCACAATATAATGAGCCAGGTCTGCGAGGCAAGTCCTCAGGGATGCCCACAGATATTTCTCATAAATTAGGTGACTCTTGTGGAGGTCATGGGCACTTAATCCAGAACACCAAGGCAGCAAGGCAAAGCAGCTGCGAGACTGTTGGTGACGTGGAACACAGACTGAGCAGAAAGTTCTCTAGCTCAATTTCCCCTGTTGCAGGAAGAAATGAAGCCCAGAGAAGAAAACAGGCCTGGGAGGAGAGAGAGTAGACATCATAACTGATGTTCACCAATACGTGGTTCTCCTCTAGTTCTGCCCAAACAAGAATGATAATGTGTCACTTTGGGACCAAAGCATTTAATTGCTGGTGTTTGGCTCCCCGAACCTGCCATGGCAATCACTTGTTACCATGGAGGTGTTATAGACAGGTACAGTGTAGAATGCAGAGCCAATATCTGGAGGGAGGCTGCCATGGAGAATCCCCCAGATCCACTCTGGTGGTGTTAACTCACTGAGAAATTGGAGGTTGTTTGTTATGGAAGGATAACCTAACCTGTAATGATTAATACAGGATATAGACAGAGTTTTTAAAAAGACCAGAAAGAGTAGACATTCTTGCTCTGAGTGGGGAAAGGAGGAGGAGAGAATATGAGATACTACTCAATGTCTCTGACAGCATGCATTTTTTGCCCCAATTCTCCATTCTTGGCTAGATCAGTGACCTTTATCAGATATGTAAGCCTTGCACAAAATACCATAGACTGGGTGGATTATTAAACAGAAATTTATTTTCTCACATTTCTGGAGGCTGCAAATCTGAGATCAGGGTGCCAGCATGGTAGAGTTCTGGTGTGCAGATGGCCACCTTCTCGCTGTGTCCTCACATGACAAAGAGAGAAAGAGAGCAAGCTCTCTGGTGTCTCTTCCTATAAAAGCTCTAAGCCCATCATGAGGGCCCTACCCTCATGACCTCATCTAAACCTAATTATATCTCAAAGGCCCCATCCCCAAATACCATCACATTGGGGGTCAGGGCTTCAATATATGAAATTTTGGGCAATGGATATGATTCCATCTATATCTGAGTGTTTTCTCCCACTCTTTGGTTTACACTTTGGCCATGTGATTTGCTTGGCTAACAGAATGAGCTGGAATTGACAGTATATGCCAGTTCCAAAGCCAAGCCTTAAAGAGCCCTTACATGTTAACAGTTTCCCCCTTGCACCTCTGCTATGGGCATGAGAAGAACATGGCATGGCTAGACCATTCCACAAAGGAGGACAGAAATACATGGAGTACTACCACCACTGCAAACACATATTGCAACAATCTGCAACATGCAGAACCACGACCCACCAAGCCTGCAGCATAAATGACAAATGATTATGTTTTTAAGACAGCAAGTTTGTGGTGGTTTGTTAGGAAGCACTACTGGGGCAGTAGGTAATTGATCTATATAATGACTACAGGAAAATGGCCAAGGAGGACCTGTGGCTCTTTAGGAAGAGTCTTATGCTAACAAAGCTGCCTAGGAAAATTAAGTTGTACTGCTCCAAAGACTCTTCTCTTCAAATCCTGTTTTCTTATTTACCTTTTCCAGTTCCCTGAAATAGGTCCTAAATTCAACTCTGATACTGGTCAGCAAGGTTTGTGAAGAAGACAAAAGCACTGGGGAGGGGGATACAGAATCATAAAGTAATACAAAAAAAAAAAAAACAGAAAAGAAAATTTCAGGGGAGAAAAATCAAGTGCAATACAAAACACCAAAGGAAATGAGATCTGAGGTCTCTAAGTTTACTAAGAAGGCTAGTCATCATGAAGCCATTTTTGGACACCAGGGAGACAGAGGCATGGGAGTTCAGGAAAAAACAAGTGGCAAGAAAATTGAGACAGTGAGTTTAAATCATTGAGTTTAGAAACGTAACAATGAAAAGAATAAAAAATAGAGCAACAACTAGTGGAGCAGGAAATAGAATTCATTTCCTAATACAGAAGACCTATATATATAGGTTTCTATATCAGTGCTATATCAGTGCTATATCAGTTTTCTGTTGCCACAAAACAAATTATTACAAACTTATTATCTCACGGTTTTGTAGGTCAGAAGTCTGAGTGAGCTTAGCTGGGGTCTCTGCTTCAAGTCTCACAAAGCCAGCATCAAGGTGTCAACCAAACTGGGCTCTTATCTGGAAGTTCTAGAGAATAAGACCTCCGGGCATATTCAGGTGGTTGGCAGAATTCAGTTCCACACAGCAAATAGGACTGAAGTCCCCATTTCCTTGCTGGCTATTGGCTGGAGGTTGCTCACAACTCCTAGATGCTGTTCTCTGGCCCTGCATGTGCTCATCTCCATCTTCAAAGTCAGCAATGGTGCACTGGACCTTTATCATATTTTGAATGTCCCTGACTTCTTCTTCTAATAGCAGCTAGAAACAAATCTGTTCAAAGGCCCATGTGACTGTATTAGACCCAGATAACCTCCCTACCTTAAGGTCAACTGATTAGGAACCTCAATTATATCTCAAAACCCCTTGTGCTGTGTAACCTAACATAATTATGGAAGTAACAGCCATCATATTTACAGTCCTAGAAATTATGGCAGAAATCTTAGAGGGCCATCTTAGGATTCTGCCTACCACATGTACACATTTAAAGTTGAAAAAGATCCAAAAGCGAAAAGACCTTGAAGAAGATTTTAAATAGAACCTTGTATTACACAAATTACCTATAAATAGGAAGGAAAGAAATCAAGGAAAAAGTATGCCATCCTGGCCATAGCAAAAAAAAAGAAGGATGCCTTTTATTGGAGATTTGAAGAAAGAATTAAAAAAAAAAAGAAAAAAAAAGGCAGAGGCAAAAGACACCTTTTATGCCAACTATTTACTTTGCCAAAATTAGTATCATTTTAATTTAGATACAAAGAAACATATTCTAGGCTCTTTGAAAAAGTTCCTCCAGATGGTTACATCTCCCTGGAGTGACAGCACCTAGCGTAGCCTTGCACATATTGGGAATTCAATTAAACACTGCTGACCATCTGATTGAGAATTCAGAGGCTGGAGTAGCTGACTCAATATAAACATATGGCTTAGTTCCCATCAAAGGAAAAATCAAGTCACTCTATTCTCCTCCCCAACATCGCACCTCCTTTGCAATGTAGGAGAAAACAGATATGAACTAATAAAAATAGACGATGTAACAGAGATTAGGAAACAGGCAAACTGGAGAATACAAAATTTCTCTAATTTTACCATAAAATCAGAATGCTTCAGCTAAGGATCAGCACTGTAAATATGTCATTCTTAATTCAATTGCATTCAATCAGATCAATACTTTCCGATCATGGCTTCAGGATATTTAAGATGGGGAAGACACAATCTGAGCCCAGCTGCTAAGTGTTGGGGGATAGGAGAAGCACACAAATGACTATACTGTGAGGTTGAGCTATATTAATTGTGGAAAGCCAAATGAAGATAAGAAAACAAATTAAACCACTTTTAACCCTCTTAAGAGCCATATGAAATATTTATACATGAGAAAAAGCCTCAGGCAGATCAAAAATATTTTTCAAGATCATATACCAAGTATATTGTAGGGTACAGATTCAAATTCAAGACTGACTCCAAACTCAGTCTCTCCCAAAGAAGAGGCAAATCACCTCTGGTTGGCTAGTTGGATGGGAGTTTGGAGGCTGGTGGAGAGAAACCAGGAACAGTTTCTTAGGGAAGCAGTTATTTCAGGTAAAACTTGGAAAGATATACACAGTTTTGAAAAGCTGAGATGGCAAAGAAGGAGAACATTTCCAGGAGGAACAGCAAAAAGCACAGAAGCAAGAAATCAGGATCAACATTTGGAGAATGGTGAGTAGATCAAGTAGCACAAACTCTTTACAAATAAAGATAGATTGGATGCACATTCTGGAAGTCAAATATTGGGGTTAATAAGTTACTGTAATAGTTCAGGGAAGAGCCTAAACTAGAATCTCAGACATGAAAAAGGAGAAAAGGAGAAGAGGGGACTAATGTGAGGAGTCAGATGGAAGATTACTCTCTTATGTTTACATTACAGTCAACAACAACAACAAAAAAGACAGCCAAGTCCAAAAACTAAGCTTGGATTCAAAAGAAAAAAGTCATCCCTCTGCCACCCTCTTTTGCCCTCTAGTCTAGAGGTTAGTAAACTATGGCCCACAGGGCAAATTCAACCCACCATCTGTCTCTGTAAATAAAATTCTACTGGAACACAGCCGTGTCCACTCATTTACGGATTGTTAATGGCTGCTTTCACCCTATAATAGCAAAGACTATGTGGTCCACAAGACCTAAAATATTTACTTTCTAGTGCTTTACAGAAAAAAAAAAATTGTCAACGCTTGCTCTAGTTCCATACTCCACAAGCCACTCTTATTTGTTTGTTTGTTTGTTTGTGACAGGGTCTCACTCTGTAACCCAGACTGGAGTGCAGTAGCACGATCACAGCTCACTGCAGGCTAAAGCAATTCTCTCACCTCAGCCTCCCAAATAGCTGGGATTACAGGTGCACGCCATCATGCTCAGTTAATTTTTTTTTTTTTTTTTTTTTTTTTTTAGCAGAGACGAGCTCTGTCTGTGTTGCCCAGGCTTGTCTCAAACTCCTGGGCTCAAACAATCACCTGCCTAGGCCTCCCAAAGTGCTGAGATTACAGGCGTAAGCCACTTCACCTGGCCTGTTCCAATTCTTTTAGTAGCTTGTTCTCATCTAAATATTAAGCTTATTTGGATATTTCCTGACTGATAAATTATCAAGACTATCATTTGAATTCCTATTATAGTAACTGAGACTTTGGCTTGCTTGCACCATCAGCCTTCCCCGCATCCTCCCCACTCTCCTTCCCCACCACACATACTTTCCTTTCCCCGTATGAATATATATTTATATTCGTAGTGTTTGCAACATTATTGTGACTACATAAATATTCTTCATTACTGAGCCAGATAATGTAATGTAATTATGTTTATGTTTCCATGCTTATAAAAATGTTATTTTCTGAAGTTAATAGTTATCATTTGTTTCATTTGCTTAGTTTTTCATTTACCTATCACTATTTTTTCTGAGTCCAACACATTTGTTCTGTTCATTTTTTTCCAAACATTCAAACACACCAAATACTTCATTTTTATTTGTTCCCCTCAAAACCACCCCCCCCAATAACCCTCCATCCTTTTTCTCTAATCTGAGTGGTTGCTCTCAAGGCCTAGTGAACAGTTGCTTTTCTGGAACTTCTCTCTGCCCTGCCATATTGAGTCTGTTCTCCTGAATCCTATGTCTTTCTCTTTATTGATTTTCTCCCTTGTTTTATGGAAGCTCATCCTCCAGAAGCTTTCTATGAAATCACACATAAGATATAAATTGTTTAATCCTTCCAGGACTTAGAATTTCTTCATTCTGTCCTCATATCTAATTGATACTTTCAGCCGGATAGAGAAATCTAAACTGAAAAGGATTTCCCCCTCAGAATTTTGAAAGCATTGCACCACTGTCCTCTACCAGCCAGTGTTGCCATAAGAGTTTGATGCCATTCTGATTTCCATCCATCTCTATGTGACTTGTGTTAATGCTTTGTTTCATTTTATACTCCCTTCACAAAGCTTTTAGGACCTTATTTTAATCTATGATGTTCTTACATTTCAGAATGACATGGCTGGTATTCTTTTCTCATTTATTGTGCTAGATACTTGGGCAGCCTTTTCAGTCTAGAGACTTACATCCACCGGTACTAGGAAATTTTCTTGTAATATTTCTTTGATAGCTTCCTTCCTTTTTCTTGTCCTCTATTTGTATCAGGCAACCTGTAGCTATAATAAGGCTTCATAATAAACCATCCTAAAACTCAGAGACATAAAACAATAGCCATTCATAATTGTTCTAGAATCTACCAGTCAGTCAGGCAGTTCTGCTGATCTTGGTTGGATTTGGCTAGGGAGTTCTTTTTGGTGTTGACTAGACCTCACACAGGTATCTGGGGTAGGCTGGCTGTTAGCTGAATTTAAATGGTATTTGGAGCTAGTGCAGTGGCTCATACCTATAATCTCAGCACTCTGGGAGGCTGAAGCAGGCAGATCACCTGAAGCCAGGAGCTCGAGATCAGCCTTGGCAACATAGCAAGACCTTGCCTCTACCGAAAAAAAAAAAAAAATTAAAATTAGCCAGGCACAATGGCCCATGCCTGTAGTCCCAACTATAACTCAGGAGGCTGAGCCGGAAGATCACTTGAGCCCAGCAGTTGGAGGTTACAGTAAGCTGTGATCCTGCCACTGCACTCTAGCCAAGGAGACAGCGAGACTCTTTAATTAATTAATGGTATTAGGTAGGACAGGGACCTGTTTCATGAGTCTCATCCACAAGCATGTTTTCATGATAATCACAGAGGTTTCAGACATTGTATACACGTATCAAAATATCACACTTTAGCCAATAATGGATGCACTTTAAAAAAAGAAGAAAAAAGTATCACCCATAAATATGTACAATTATATGTCAGTTAAAATAACAGTAGAAGAAAAAATGTGCTTTTTAAGCCTCTGTTGTGTCAAGTTTTCTATAACAAAATTGATCAAATTGGGTCACATAACCAAGTCCAGAGTCAGTATGGAGGGCACCTGCAAAAGGCTTGGATACATGAATTCATGCATGGAACCCCTATTGGTCAGATCTTGGAAATGCTGAATTGATCCTCTAATTTTCTTTTCTTTCCTATGTTCCATCTCTTAGGTTTATTTTTTTTCTTTGTTGCTGCTGCTGTTGTTGATGATCCACTTTCTATGAGATTTCTTCAATGTTATCCTGAAACTTCTAAAATTTTTTATGTTAGTTCATAATAAATTTTAAATTTCCAAACTACTTTCTTGTTATCTAATTTTACCTGTTTCATAGCATCCGTTCTTGTTTTAAAAGTACAATATCTTCTCTTATTACTCTAATGAAATTAGTAAGAGTTTTTGGAAGTATTCTTCTTGAATTGCCTCTGCTTCCCTCAGCAGGTGAAGGGAAGTTTCACCCAACTTCCCACAGCAGAGAAAGGTATCTGGGTGATCTAAAGGCTCTTGTACTTTCAACCAAGATCCATGTTCTGCTCTGTGTTTTACTCCCAGTTTTTGTGGTGCCGGGAGTTTCCAAATGTGAGTCTCTAAAGGGTTTGCATCTCATCAATGTCTTTTCTATAGGGACTTCAGAAAATTAAAGGTAACTCTCTGCAGGTAGCATTCTTCCTTTATTTTTCATCTTCCAAAATTTTGTTAAGATCTCTCTTCTGCTATCCCAATTTCTTTATCCTTATAAGTTAATACCTTTTAAAGTCTTCTACTGCCATTTCAGTGAGATTTGAGGAAGGAAAGAAGAGGAGTTTACATGGTCTATAGACACTCTCTCCATTTGCTTTTGGACACAGTGAATTCCAAGTAACACCACAATAATAAAGCAGATATCCAATGATTGAAAACACAGGTGAAGCTCAAGATAAAGGTCAGAATTAGAGATGTAAATTGGAGAACTGCTTATACAGAAATGGTTTCTACAACTATCAAAGGAAATAAACAAAATATAAAATAAAGACAAAATATCCAATGATACAATATTTAGAAATGCCTAAGCTAGGAAAAAGAAACTATCAAAGAGCTCAAAGAAGGAGGAATGATAAAAATAGAAGAGTAAGTGGGTTAGTACTAAGTCACAAAGGTCAAGGGAGAAAAAGGTTTCAAGAGAAAAAAAGACAATCAATGATATCAAATGCTGCTGAGAAACACAGGAAGATGAGGATGTTGAGGACATACCATTTGGTGATTAGGAAGATGATGGTGAAGTTTAAGAGAGTTGTTTCAATAGCATATGAGTACAAAAGATAAAGAAGTAGATAGTAAAGTAGATAATGTATTGGTGGTTCTTTTTTCCCCAATAATCTGGTGGCCAGTGGAAGACAAAAAGCCTGAGATAAGTGAGAGGAGAATTTGAACATACATGAAAGTTAAGAAAAGTTTTTGTGTTTTTTTGGTTTGTTGTTTAAGGAAAAAAAAAAAACCTTAGCAAGAGTACAAAAGGAAAGATTTGAGGAAAGAATGTAAATGCAAAGATGAGGAAAATCAAAGGATAATAAAGGACTGGAGGAGAAAGGTAGGATATGCACTCATGAGCACACATGCAGAGGTTCATCTTAGAAAAGGGGAAGGCATTCTTACTGCAAGGCAGATATGCAGGGAAAGAGAAAGAATAAAAGCAGAGGTAGAGAGAGACACCAGAAAAAATTCTGAAAACCTCATGCCCAAATGTCCTCAAGCTCAGTTAAATAAGAAACCAAGTTATCTGCTGAGAGCAAGAATGAAATTTATAGAGAGTGAAAAAGGTTTGGAACAGCTGGTCTGGTAAATGTAATAGGGGGTTTGTGGGGGAGGCGGTATTTATTAATTTACTTAAGAAATAGCGGCAGCAAGAAAAGTCTAGATAAAGCTATTCTAAGTTCTGGGAGACTCTAAACAAAATATGGATTTAGAAACAGCAAAATTTCTGTTTTTCACAATAGTAGCTATAATAATGAGAGATGCTCAGTGGGTATGAGGTAGGTAATGTCAAGTGATCAGAATAAAATATCCAAAAATTAACAAAACCTGAATTTTTCAAAAGGACTTCCTTTTGTATTTTACTTTTTAAGAAGAAATAAGAAAAAGAAAACTAATAAATCTTCAATCCAGTTCTTTCAACATTTATTCCTTGCTAATTTCTGACTAATAAAAGCGTTAATTCCAGGCTAATTAAGCCTTCTTAACTGACCTTCAAAGTTCTCCTCAACTATGCCTAACTATATCAACTCCAATCTCCTTTGTCCAAACACTACTCCTCCACTACAATCTAAAATAGTTGCATTTCCATGCATAGTAGTTCACATTTGCAAATACAAAGGCTGCTGAATCTTAGAATTTATTTATCTCTACCAATGACCAATTGTTCACAATTAGGTTACTTTTGGTCCTGATTCCTTTTGGAATTTATATGGAAAGATGTAACATTTACGGAGCCATTCATTATCACTGTTGCCTTCACCCTTTCCTTAGCTAACAGCAGCCACTTGATTCATTTACCTCTAAAGCATTGGTTCTCAACCAGAAGCAATTTTGCCTCCCAGAGAACACTTAGCAATGTCTAGAGATGATTTTTGGCATCCAGTGTGTACAGGCCAGGGATGCTGCAATCCTACAATGCAAAGGAAAACCCCACCCCGTCCCCAACAAAAAAAAATTATCTGGTCCAAATGTCAATAGTACCAAGGTTGGGAAATCATGCTCAAAAGCTACCTCATTCATATTCTAAGACCTATAAATAGGTCAACAACGAAATAAAACCTGCCTTTGGCTCAAGCTCATTCTCTCCTCTGCTCCTGATCTCCTACATTCCCAGGCCCTTTGTCTGCCTTGACCATTGAGACTTTGATTGCCTTTTTCCCAGCAAGGCTATGATATCCTGATTCTCAGATCCTTAGCTCCCTTGGGCCATCTGACACCTAAGATGCAGTTGCCCCTGTGAAGTTCCAAAACTCCCCAGGCTTGTTTCTCACTGGGGGGTCTTTAATCCTTGTTTTCTGGACTTGAGTCTTTGCACGGTCTGGCCTCTAACATAACCTGACTAATCCTAATCATCTATTTCTCCCTACACCCCAGGGTGACAATATGGTTTGACAGTGCACATCAGAGCAGCCTTTAAAAGGCCTTCTCGAGACCATCCTGGCTGACACGGTGAAACCCCGTCTCTACTAAAAATACAAAAATTAGCCGGGCATGGTGGCGCGCGCCTGTAGTCCCAGCTACTCGGGAGGCTGAGGCAGGAGAATGGCGTGAACCCGGGAGGCGGAGCTTGCAGTGAGTCGAGATCGCGCCACTGCGCTCCAGCCTGGGCGACAGAGCGAAACTCCGTCTCAAAAAAAAAAAAAAAAAAAAAAAAAAAAAAAAAAAAGGCCTTCTCCTGTCTAACTTTGGAGTCTCAGCATTCCATCTCTTCTTCCTGCAGTCACCTAAGGGGCTGTTACCTATCTCCAGAACAACAGTTTACATGTGTTAAGACCTCATTATATGGTTGCTGGAGGAAAACATGAACCAATAACTTGCAGGCTTGAGTTACAAAGAACATACATTTAAACCAACTGAATTCTGGATCTAACAGTTCTTTCATTCAGTTACCAAAATATTTATTGAAGTACAGTACCAGGCATGTGGGGGTGGGTGGCTTAAAAAAAGTATCCATAAATAGCTCACAGCTTAGTATATAAAATCAGATATGTAAATAAGTAATCTGTAATTAGACTAATTACAGTCAGATTATTCCTATTTTATAATATCTAAAGAAAATTGTAAAAGAAATAAAATCCTTCCTCAGAATTGACAGAACTAATGGTCTTAAAATAAAAGTACATGGGATGAGGCTGGGTGCCATGGCTCATGCCTGTAGTCTCAGCACTTTGGGAGGCCGAGGCAGGCAGATGGATTCCCTGAGGTCAGGAGTTCAAGACCAGTCTGGACAACATGGTGAAACCTGTCTCTACTAAAAATACAAAAATTGGCCAGGTGTGGTGGTGGGCGCCTATAATCCTAGATACTCAGGAGGCTAAGGCAGGAGAATTACTTGAACCTGTGAGGCAGAGGTTGCAGTGAGCTGAGATCATGCCATTGCACTCCAGCCTGAGTGACAGAGGGAGACTCTGTCTCAAAAAAAAAAAAAAAAAGCGCATGGATAAATAAATGAGCAAATGAACAAGCAGATGGATAAATGAGAAACCAAATATCAAACAAGTAAATTTTTTCTGGGGGTCTTAGGCAAAGTGGTACATCATGTAAATGAGAGCCTCATTATTCTACTACATCTCCTTTCTTTTCATCTTCCTTAAATGTCATTCTCACTATAAATGCTAATTGGTTTAGCATATATAACAAATTAATCTGGGTGATAGAATAATGCTACAACACAATCCATGCTGAAAAATCTTTGCTTCTCAGTTTTGCAGATAATGAAGCCTCTAAACAGACATAGCCCACCAGTATGTAGACAGACCAGGACTGATACTAGGCCAAAAGACACCATGTAGCCTCTCCAGATGTTTACAGCCAGTGTGCATCTGACTGGTCAGTGCTTGTGCCTCATCAGTGGTAAGTTGTTTTAATGTCACCCTTGATCAGTACATTCTCTCAATTTTAGAGCAGCAGGCAGGGCTCCCAAGAAGAGATTTCATAACTATATTATGTTCATTCTCCCTTTAAAAGTATAAAAATTCCAATTACCAATTGACATAGCAGAAAGCATCCACCTGGTTAGACTGACTTTTCCTCTGCATAATACCTTGTTAATCCATCATAATGATTTATTCATATTGCTGCTGCACTGAGATATCAGATGCTACAACTACGATTATCACTGTTCCTCGTAAAGTGGAGTCTTACAGAGCTGGCTTTGAACCCAAGCTCTATCAGGTACTGTCTACGTGATGTTCAACCTCTTCTAGGCTGAAGTACGTGAGACTTTAACCAAATGCAATTGAGGAAAATAATATTTACCTTAGAGGTTTGTTGTGAGCATTGATAAGGAGACGATATATCTATACAGACTAGAACATACCAGGTGCTTAATGAATCCTAGCTTCTCCTTTTAGCCAAATCTGATACAAACATATTGATCAAGTTCTTTCCCTTCCTTCCTTTCACCATGTGATGCCTGCTCCCCTTCACCTTCCACCACAACTTTTTCTTTTCTCTTTGCTTAATTTTCTTTAAGTCCCTCCACCTTATCGGCAATTTACTTTTTCATTTATCAAAAGTTACTAAGAGCACGAGCTTACCACTGCCTCTCCCAAAATATCTCCTACAAATCTCTGGAATCCATAGTGAAAAGTAGAAACTATGATTCCAAATTTGCCTTTACCCTAAACACATTGTTTTGCCTTTGTTTTAAAGTGGCTTTTCCCTCCTCATCTCTGATAATTTTCCAGCATTAAGAGCATTGGCTTTTGAGTCAAGCAATCTTGGATTCCAAATCCAATTCTGTTGCTTATGTAGTCGAATTACTTACCTGGTTGACTTATTAAATTTCTGTGGCTCTCACTGTCCCAAAAACTAGAACATGTATGGCAATGGGCACAATGCCTAGCACATAATAGGTGCTCAAATATATCATATTTAATTGTTCTCAGCACTGGCATTGCTAACCAAGACTACCTTCTCAGTCAACAATTAGTCTCAAAGATACAATCCAAATCATGTCCCATTAGCATGTGCCCTGTTCTGTATTTATTCACTCAACTAATCATCTCCTGAATGCTGTATATGTTCTAGGCATAAAATAAAGACATTTGTACAGCACTTTCAAAGATAACTAAACCAAAGTTTCAGACTTAAAGGAACTCATTGTCTAGTGGGAAGGCAAACATGTAAACAAATAATTACACGGCAGTATACTAAGTGCTAAAAATAGATGCATGTACAAGGTGCCAGGGAAGCACCATAGAGAGAGATCAGGCAAAGCTTCCTTGAAGAGATGACTATGCCAGAGTTGAGTCTGGGAGGATGAGCAGGGATTCACTGAGCACACAAGGGAAAGACGGACATTCTGGGAGAGACAGGGGCAGGCAACAGTGGAAAGTCCATGATGCCTGCTGAAAACACCAAGTACAGGAATTGAGTCGGGTTGGAGAGTGCTGCTACAAAGAACTGGTGAAAAAATGGGGCAGTTAGGAGGGAGCCAAACCACAAAAGGCCTCAAGTGATGTGCCAAAGAGTATGGACTTTATTCATTAAGCAATGGCAAGCCACTGATTTTTTTTGTTTTTGGGGGGTTTTTTGAGACAGGGTCTCACTTTGTCACCCAGGCTGGAGTGCAGTGGCACGATCTCAGCTCACTACAGCCTCAACCTCCTGGGCTCAAGTGATCCTCCCACCTCAGCCCCCCAAGTAGCTGGGACTACGGGCATGCACCACCATGCCTAGCTAATTTTTTTGTATTGTTAGCAGAGACGGGGTTTCGCCATGTTGGCCAGGCTGGTCTCTAACTCCTGAGCTCAAACAATCCACCCACCTCAGCCTCCCAAAGTGCTAGGATTACAGATGTAAGCCACTGTGCCCAGCCTCTATTGATATATTTCTAAGTCAAAGAATAACATGTTTATAATGGCAGAGGAGGAATCAGGTTGGAAGGACTGTTATTGGAAGTGGTGATACTGAGTGGACAGAAGTAGTAAGGAAAAACGTCAGGCATGGCTCTAGAGTTTCTAGTTTAAATGATGCACCATAGTTCCTAACACAAATGATGCAAGTAACAGAGCAGAACTCTGGGTACAGATAATTAATGTTTTGCATTTCATACCTCCATTGAGGAGGAGATGTTCAATAGGACACCGGGGATAACATGTCTAGCGTGCAGGAGAGAGAAATGAATTACAGATACAGGTTTCGGGTAGATTTTGGAGAATAATAATTTTTAAAACCAAAGAACATGCTTTTTTTTTTTTTTTTTTTGAGACAGAGTCTCACTCTGTTGCCCAGGCTAGAGTGCAGTGGCATGGCGCGATCTTGGCTCACTGCAATCTCTGCCTCCCGGGTTCAAGCGATTCTCATGCCTCAGCCTCCTGAGTAGCTTGGACTACAGGTGCAGGCCACCACACCCAGTTAATTTTTTTTTTTTTTTTTTTTTTTGTATTTTCAGTAGAGACGGAGTTTCACCGTGTTAGCCAGGATGGTCTCGATCTCCTGACCTCATGATCCACCCGCCTCAGCCTCCCAAAGTGATGGGATTACAGGCGTGAGCCACCATGCCTGGCCAAGAACATGCTTTTTAAAAGAAATATAATTCATTTAGACTTCTCTCCCAACTTCAAGTGAAAAGATTACAAATTAAAAACCTTAAATTACTATCTATTGCATATATATTAAAATCTAACATTAAAAAATATGGAAAGATGTCAACACATTTAATGAAAACAAAAAACTTTAACAGAGGTAAGTATTGTATATTTATTTGTCTATTACTTTGCTTAAGCAGTCTGCTTGCTAATATAAGGACATTTTCCTTACCTATAAGAGTAACGTATTTCCAAAATAATGTTTTCATGGCCAAAAAAAAGCATAACGCTTGCTTCATCTTCTGAATAAACAAGTGTGTTTAATTTCCTGAGTAAACATTAGTCATAGTTGACACTGAACAGCGTCCAAATTCAAGGAAGGAGTTAAGAAATTTCTAAAACCCCAAGAGCAATATACCTCACCCAGAGAATCTAGTGAAGAGCTTATTATAAAGGACTAAAAGTCAATGTCATACCAAAATTTTAAATAACATCATGCATCCCTCTACTTAATAAATTATTTCAAAATCAGGTCACAATTGACAGACACACTATCTTGGGCAGACGGGAGAGACTAGATAAGCAGGGAAAATTTCCTTTTCTCTACTGAAGCATGTCCACCAACTGTCATATCTGGAAAACAGCCAAAATGAGCACTTTATTTGCAAAAAGAACAGGAGATTTATAATGTGAGCAAAATGTGTGCTATATAAATGCAGAATATAGAGAATTATTTTAAGATTCATATTTCTGTATGTTTAGAAATAATGTTTCAAAGACGTAGATTAAAACCACAAGTTCATCTATATAAAAAGCTCTAAAAGCCAAGGGTGGCAACGCTTAAATCCCTATAGATAAGCTTTACCCTTTTCTTCTGGGCTGTGACCATCTATGCGAGGTAAGGTTTCCTTATAAACTTCTAAGACAGATAATCTGGCCTCACAGGTATCTAAATGAATTAGCCACATAAATTACTCTGAGAAAACCACAGCCAAATCATGTCTCTCTTAACCTTCCTTTCCTTCTGCTCCCTAACCCTCTGTTTTCTCTTTAGTCACAGAGCATTTTCTAGTTTCCTGACCACGGGGTTTACCAGCCAAAGCTGACACAGCTGAGTTGAGAAGGGAAAGCAGCTGAACTATAAAGGAAGGAAATCAGAGAGAAAAGAGGCAGGGAGTCTGGAAATGCTAACTAGAGGGGAAATAAGAAAACCCTGGACTGTGTCTGAATCTGTAGAAACTTGCAACTCTAGATTAATGTCCTCAACTCAGGTGTTGGCGGCCCTTAGTCAACTAAGGGTTTGCGAAAATTTTCCAAATGGGTTCCTCGCTAATCTAAAATAAATACATATTAAAAATAGTAATAATGGCAGAGTCTCAATAACATTTATAGCCAATAACCAGGGAAAAGGAAGGGTAGGCATTCATTTTGAGTGACTTTACTATTGGAAACTCCTGGACAGTTACAGCATTGCTATTAACACAATTGTCACTTTGGATAAGGTGTCCAACTGCATCACACAGTATTTTGGTTCTTTAAAGAAGTTAGGGGCTGGGCATGATGGCTCACACCTGTAATCCCAGCATTTTGAGAGGCCGAGGCGGACGGATCATCTGAGGTCAGGAATTCAAGACCAGCCCGGCCAACATGGTGAAACTCCATCTCTACTAAAAATACCAAAAATTAGCCAGGCGTGGTGACAGGCGCCTGTAGTCTCAGCTACTCAGGAGGCTGAGGCAGGAGAATTGTTTGAACCCAGGAGGCAGAGGTTGCAGTGAGCCCAGATTGTGCCACTGCACTCCAGCCTGGGCAGCAGAGTGAGACTCCCTCTCAAAAAAAACAAAACAAAACAAAACAAGACAAAACAAACAACAAAACAAATGAAGTGAGAGAATTTAAACAGAAAGGAAGTGGGAAAGGTAAGGTGAAGAAAGACTTCTGGTTTGAGTGTATTCTCTTAAAAAGTTCACAAAATCGCTGAGGTAATAAACATTTTTCCACATGCCTCTTTTCTGAGATTTTGTCCACCTTCTCCTCCAGCCATGAGGTGGGGCTCAAGGAGACTCAGCAGCCCCTAGTTTATGCTACAAGATCCTATCTCCCTGCCTTCCCCTCATCCTCACTGCCTTGATTCCTGGTCTTTTCAAGGCCTGGCAGTTCAACATTTCCTTGATTCTATGAAAGACTTCTATAGTCATAAATTCCCATTCCCCTTTAAAGAAAAAGCAAGCAAGACCTCCAAGGAAGGATATATTAAACATGGATCTTGTACCCTTTTCTGCAACTCCTTTCATCAGTGAGATGATGATAATACTATAGATTAGATTGTGGAGAAAATAGGTATCTATCCATCCCAAGAGTCAAGAGTTTTGGAGGGATTTTTAAAGGTAATCCAGGAACAAATAGGATAGGTACTCTGCATGTTCCCTTGTTCTGCTGATGAATGTCACAAAATACAAAGTTTACGAAGCATTTCTATGGACACCCAAGGACACCATAAAAACAGAAAGCCAAGATACAAATACTTTGAAATACTGTGAAAAGGTCCTACGTTATTAGAGGTATTGATAAGAAAACAAGATGTTAAGAAAAGAGTAGAAATCACGATCTCTTTAGATCCCTAGATGTTTTCTTGTGTATTAAGTATGACATTTTTTAAATCCAGGCTGGTTTAGTTGTTTTTTTTTAATTTTACTTTAAGTTCCAGGATATGTGTGCAGAACGTGCAGGTTTGTTACATAGGTATACATGTGCCATGGTGGTTTGCTGCACCTATTGACCCGTCCTCTAAGTTCTCTTCCCTAACCCTCCCACCCCCATCAGGCCCTGGTGTGTGTTGTTCCCCTCCCTGTGTCCATGTGTTCTCATTGCTCAACTCCCACTTATAAATGAGAACATGCAGTTTGGTTTTCTGTTCCCGTGTTAGTTTGCTGAGGATGACGGCTTCCAGCTTCATCCATGTCCTGCAAAGGACATGATCTCATTCCTTTTTATTTTATGGCTGTATAGTATTCCATGGTGCATATGTACCACATTTTCTTTATCCAGTCTATCATTGATGGGCATTTGGGTTGGTTCCATGACTTCGAGATTGTAAATAGTGCTGCAATAAACATACGTGTGCATGTACCTTTATAGAATGATTTATATTCCTTTGAGTATATACCCAGTAATGGTATTGCTGGGTCAAATGGTATTTCTGGTTCTAGATCCTTGAGGAATCACCACACTGTCTTCAACAATGATTGAACTAATTTATATGCCCACCAACAGTGTAAAAGCTTCCTATTTCTCCACAGTCTGGCCAGCATCTATTGTCTCTTGACTTTTTAATAATCACCATTCTGACTGGCATGAGATGGTATTTCATTGTGGTTTTGATTTGCATTTCTCTAATGATCAGTGATGTTGAGCTTTTTTTTTTTTTTTTTTTTTGAGACGGAGTCTCGCTCTGTCGCCCAGGCTGGAGTGCAGTGGCATGATCTCGGCTCACTGCCGGCTCCGCCTCCCGGGCTCACGCCATTCTCCTGCCTCAGCCTCCGGAGTAGCTGGGACTACAGGCGCCCACCACCACACCCGGAGAATTTTTTGTATTTTTAGTGGAGACGGGGTTTCACCGTGTTAGCCAGAATGGTCTCGATCTCCTGACCTCGTGATGCACCCACCTCGGCCTCCCAAAGTGCTGGGATTACAGGCGTGAGCCACTGTGCCCGGCCGATGTTGAGCTTTTTTACCCGTGTGTTGGCCACGTAAATGTCTTCTTTTGAGAAGCGTCTGTTCATATCCTTTGCCCACTTTCTGATGGGGTTTTTTCTTGTAAATTTGTTTAAGTTCCTTGTAAATTCTGGCTATTAGACCTTTGTCAGATGGGTAGATTGCAAAAATTTTCTCCCATTCTGTAGGCTGCCTGTTCACTCCGATGATAGTTTCTTTCATTGTGCAGAAGCTCTTTAGTTTAATTAGATCCCATTTGTCAAGAGTTCTCTTCTTAAGGTAGTAAAACTAAAATTCAGATCATCTTTCCATTGAGTTTGTTTTCCCAAACCTAGGGAAGGAGAGCAGGAACTGGTAATAGTGCCTGCTGTTTATTTTTTCTTAAATGTGGCATGCAAAGCTGAATGATCTTTTAAAGTACAGAATATAACTGCAATGAATTATTTCTGCAATACTTCCAACTATTTTTCCCATTTCTTTGCAATTAATGATAGCATTTTTTTGGCTATAGCAAATGTTTACTAAAGAGCTTCCTGGACGTTTCTTTGCTTAGATTTATTTCTAGGAATTATAGTTTCCTGATAGTAACTTAAAGCTTGGGAAATTCCCAGTATGAATTACTTACTGTCCTGGTTCATTTGAAGCAATAATCATTTTTATAAGACCTGTGCAGATGTGCCATATTTTATAATATACTTGTGTCAATTTCCAGACATATTTTTATGACATTTTAAAAATCATAGTGGGAATATCATATAACAAGAAAAACCTACTTGCTGGAATCCTTATCTCTATCGAATTCTGCAAACTCAACTTCTTCAGTGAATGACAGTTAATATCTCAGTTCTTTTATAACTCTTTTTCGGCATTATCATCATCTTACTAAAATTCTTGAGAATGCACTTTGCTGATAATTATGATAAAGAAAGACCTTCAGCTAAACAGCAAAAAAATATATAAAGATTTTCTGTCTCTCATTCTGGAGGCCTACTACATGTCCACAACACTATACATGAAAAAAAGCCCATTAAAGAATGCAAAGTGCTGACCAGCCTATCAAATTATCATCATCTCTCCTCCAAAGTGCAAGGAGAAATAGTATCCAGGAGAATTGCCACACAGTGCTCATGCTTTGGTCATAATCTGATGTTACCTAAAATCATTAATTGCCCAATTTTCTTCCAATACAAGGTACAGCCAATGCTGACTTTGAAAGAGATATTATCATTGTCATCACCTAGATAAAAAGAAGAGCCTCCTCCACTTTCTCTTCCACTCCCTATTCCTCTTTTCCTTCCTTCTCATTTCCCTTCTCTTCCTGAAAAATTCAGTTCCTACACTATTAAGTAACACAGAGAAAGGTAGGTGTCCACATCAGAGGAAAGATGGAAGGCACAGTGGAAAGGTAGGAGGTGTGTCCATATTGGGGCAGGCCTAGTGTGGCGTACCATAGCCTAAGTGAGAGGGCATCCCTTCTGGCATGATATGAGAGGGTTAGAACCCACACAGGGTGAAGAGGGTGCCCATGTGGTGATGGCAGAGGGGAACACCCCAGCATGGGATGTCAGTATCCAAACAGAATGAGAGGGCATCCACATGCAAGGGTGACCTAGTGCAGGGGGATTAGAGTCCAAGAAGGATGAAAAGATTATTCCCCTGTAGATGCAGACCAGGAGAGAGTCAGATATGAAAAGGGTGAAGAGGTGTCTCTGCAGAAGGACAGCCTAGTGTGGGGTGACAGAGCCTAAGAGGGAAAAGGAGGACATTAACAGAAGGGAGGGGACGATAGTGGAGAGGAGATTGATAGCATATAAGACGACTTATCAAATAAGTATATATACAAAGATAACAGAAGCCAGACTGGAGGATGAAGGAAGTTACAATAAACTCATATTTTTAATAACTATAGAGATGTAAATATGTGTACACAGTGATGTGAATATATTCACTCCCTGGCTGAGAGGATCTGGGAGATATGACACTCCAAAAGCCATGAGCATAACAATACCCAAATCTTAGCTTCTAATGGCCCACTTTCCAATAAAAGGAACCAGGCCACTTGGAGAAAAGGTTGATTCCAGGGCTAAGGCAGGAAAAGATGAGTCCTGGAACATTTTATGATGCCAAAAGCAAGGAAATGCTCAAGGAATGGCTCAAAAAAAAAGTCAGCCTAAAAGGGATCCTACTAAGTCTGAGATAATTTAAGCATCAAAATTAATAATGATAGCAGTGCATTATAACCTAGGCAATAAAACAGCAAACCATGAGTCCACACTGATATAAATAAATGAATAAAAGAAAGTTTGATGAGGAATGGGATATCTGCATAAATGTACCTCCACACAAAATAGTTATTAAAGGGGGAAAAAGGTAATTATATATATAGAAGTTTGACAACCACCATCATAAGCAAGTGATTAAAATGAACATTATCAGCAACGGGACAGATCAAATCCCATGCCACCTGACAGGATACAATGAAAAGAACAGAGCATCCCTCTGTGGCATTCCCACCAAAGGTGCACAACCTGGGCCAGGCACGGTGGCTCACGCCAGTAATCCCAGCACTCTGGATGGCCGAGGCAGGCAGATAACTTGAGGTCAGGAGTTAGAGACCAGCCTGGTCAACATGGTGAAACCCCGTCTCTACTAAAAATACAAAAATTAGGCGCATATTTGTAGTCCCAGCTACTCAGGAGGCTGAGGCACAAGAATCGCTTGAACCCGGGAGGCAGAGCTTGCAGTGAGCCAAAATTGCGCCACTGCACTCCAGCCTGGGCGACAAAGTGAGACTGCATCTCCGAAAACAACCAAACATCAACAACAAAAAAAGTGCACAACCTGAATGTAATAATAAGAAAACAGCAGGTAAACCCAAAGTGAGGGACATCTTATAAAATAACTGGCTTATTGTCTTTGTGTCAAGATCACAAAAGTCAAAGAAAGACTGAGAAATTATTCACACTCAAGAAGACTAAGGAGGTATGACAACTAAATGCAGTACATGATTTTGAACTTAATCCCAATAAAGACATTATTGGGACAGTTGGCAAAACTTGAATGGGATCTGAGGAATAAATGGCTGTAATGTGACAAAGTTAATTTTCTTATTTTAGTGACTGTATTGTGGTTAGGTCGAAGAATGTCCTTGTCTGTAGGAAATACAAACTAAAGTATTCTGGGGTGATTAGGTTGACAACTTACTTGCAAATGGTTCGGGGAAAAAAAAGGTTATTTAAACTATATTTCCAGATTTTCCATAATATGTGATTATTTCAAAATAAATTTTAATTTTAAAAATAAAAATATTTGACAGTATGTAGTTCTACCTCCAAACATTAAAGAATTACCTGAACCTGACTCATGGTCGGATTTAGATCTGATGTATGATGGGAGATGAGAGCCAAATGCTGACACCAGACTGCTCAAACGAAAAAGCTAAATTTGTGAGTTTTTATGCCCTAGTAAAATTAGATACTACTGTATAGTTAGCTATTATCTCATGTAAATGATTTTTGTAAGGGCCTAGAGAGAAGAGTCTATTTTCCAGCCTCCAAAGCACCATCACCATACTAAATGCATAGTGTACACCTCAAGATATTTCCATACCATAAAAATATGTCTCAAAATATTTTAATGCTTTTAAAAAGGAGAAAATAGTAATGATAGGCTTACTAGGAACCCATTAATCTCATGGATTACAGCACAGCACATACAACTTCCGTGGAACACAATTTTTTTCTGTTCAAGTTATCTTTGTGAGGAATGTACAAGATAGAAAACAAATACTAAATCTTTGGTGACCAGTACCACTCCTAAAAGCAAAAGGAAAAAAGCAATCCTCTGCCTCTGGGATCAGAGGAAGATTGGCCAAGCAGTGTCACTCCCTATGGCCTGTCTTGGTGCCTACAGTTACACCATTAAAGATTTAGGTTAAGACAGTGTAAACAAATGACTTATTATAATGCAAATATTCCAGAGTTTCCCATTCAATAAAAGATACTCATGAAATATATAATTATGATTTATAATTATGAATAATTTATTGAATATCTAAATTATTTATTGCATAGATATTAATGCTTAGTAATAATAAGCATTTTATTTCCTCCTGTGTAATAGGCACTGTGATAGATATTTTATATAAATTATCTTTAACCATTCCAACTCTACAAGATAGATGTTATCACCTCCACTTTATAAATAAGGAAACTGAAGCCCAAAGAAGTTAAATCACCTGCATAGCGCCAAATGTCCTTTCAGTTGCAGAGTCTGCATTCAAACTCAAGACTCGGAATTTTTCCATTACGGTTTTTTCTTTTCTTAGAGATTGGGTCTTGCTCTGTTACCCAGGCTGGAGTGCAGTGGTGTAATCATAGTTCACAGCAGCCTCAAACTCCTGGGCTCAAGCAATCCTCCCGCCTCAGCCTCCCAAGTCACAGGGATTACAGGTACAAGTCACTCCATTACATTCTGCTTCTTCTTTCACTATGTAATTTACTATTCTGAAAAATAGAACCTGGCGCAGTGGCTCACACCTGTAATCCCAGCACTTTGGGAGGCTGAGGCGGGCGGATCACAAGATCAGGAGATCCAGAACATCTTGGCCAACATGGTGAAACGCCGTCTCTACTAAAAATACAAAAATTAGCTGGGCATGGTGGTGCATGCCTGTAGTCCCAGCTACTCTGGAGGCTGAGGCAGGAGAATCGCTTGAACCCAGGAGGCGGAGGTTGCAGTGAGCCGAGATCACACCACGGCACTCCAGCCTGGGCGACAAGGGCGAAACTCCGTCTCAAAAAAAAAAAAAAAAGAAAAAGAAAAAAGAAAAATGGAGATCTATGGTATGAGGGAATAAAATGCCATATAGGAAAGCTTCTTATTGGTACAGGATAAAACTAAATTATGAGACTTCTGAGTTTGGGGTAGAAGAAGCCAAAGAATGCCTTAGAACCATGAAAGGAAGAAAGGCTAAGCAAAGGGACATAAGGGCACAGGAAGAGGGGATGAGAAAGGTCTAAGGACAAACTGCCTGGTTCCCCAGTTTTCCTACACAGCCTAACACTAGAGTTGACAAAAGTCCCTGAATTAATAATGAGCTCAGTTAAAAACGACAGGCTTAGATTTATTGGCCTGAAAGAGATGGATCATAAATGAGGGCTGTGGGCTGGGTGTGGTGGCTGACGCCTGTAATCCCAGCACTTTGGGAGGCCGAGACGGATGGATCACGAGGTCAGGAAATCGAGACCATTTGGCTAACACAGTGAAATCCCGTCTCTACTAAAAATACAAAAAAAAATAGCCCGGTGTGGTGGCGGGCGCCTGTAGTCCCGGCTACTCGGGAGGCTGAGGCAGGAGAATGGCGTGAACCCTGGAGGCGGCACTTGCAGTGAGCCAAGATCGTGCCACTGCACTCCAGCCTGGGCAAAAGACCGAGCCTCTGTCTCAATCAATCAATCAATCAATCAATCAATCAATCAATGCTGTGGTGAACACTGTACTTTCCTTCTTTGTGTGAAAGGAATGAGGACAAATAAATCCCACGTACATGGTTTAGATGTTTGTTCCCTCCAAATCTCATACCGAAATGTGGTTCCCAGTGTTGGAGGTGGGGTCTGGTGGGAGGTGCTTGGATCATGGGAGTGGACCCCTCATGAACGGCTTAGCAGCATCCCCTTGGTGATGACTGAGTTCTCCAAATTTACATGAAATCTGGTTGTTTAAAAGTGTGTGGCACCTCCCTGCTCTCTCTCTTGCCCCTGGTCTCACCATTTTATACACTGGCTCACCTTTGCCTTCTGCCGTGATTGGAAGCTTCCTGAGGCCTCACCTGAAGCAGATGCCAGCACCATGCTTCCAGTACAGCCTGCAGAACCCTGAGCCAATTAAACCTCTTTTCTTTATAAATTATCCAGCCTCAGGTATTTCTTTATAGCAACACAAGAACTGACACACTCGCCCATCTGGAAACATGGGATGGACAAGTTATTAAAATACCTTTGAAGACAATAGAAGTTAGACAATATCAAGCACCTAGAATTTTGGGGGTAAAAAATTCCACACTGGGTTTTTGTGGGGGTTGTTCTGGTTCAGGTTTTTTTCTTTTTGCCCAGGCTGGAGTACAGTGGCATGATCATAGCTCACTGTAGACTTGAACTCCTGGGCTCAAGCAATGCTTCTACCTCATCCCCCTGAGTAGCTAGGACTATAGGTATGCGCTACCACACCCAGCTATTTTTATTTTTTTATTTTCTGTAGAAACAGGATCTTATTATGTTGCCCAGCCTGGTCTTGAACTCCTTGGCTCAAGCAATCCTCCCGCCTCAGCCTCCCAGAGTGCTGGGATTACGGGTGTGAGTCAACACACCTGGACTAACACTGTATATAGTGAAAATAACTGACAAGGGCATATTTTTAAAATGTCTTTAGGTGATTTACTTTACCACTCAGTTCAGTTTACTGTTCATGTGCTATCAAGAAACAAATTTAAAGCAAAATACTGCCAATAATATGAAACTGATAAGCACACAAAAATAATTGAGAACTATGTAGGAACTGAAATATATTACTATATAATTTTGTAGAAAATGTACTTTCCATTTACATGTTGGAAATATATTGGTATATTCATATTTTAACATAAGATATGCATTGATCCCTATGGCACTAGGAAGCAATACAGCACAATTGAAAGATATCTGGGATCAGAAACACCTGAATTTGCTTCTTGAATCTGCATGAGTACTGATTATAAAACTACTGACTTTGTAACTCTGGGCAAGTTATTCAATTTTTCTAACCTTTTCACCCATAAATAAAAATGGGGAAGACATTGCAAGACTTGTAAAGATTGAAGAATATAATTTTATGTAAAAAAAGTGGCCTGTGTGATGTTTACAACATTGCTTATAATAATAATAAAGTCAAAAATCATCCAAGTATCTATCATTAAGAAAATATTAAGTAACAACAGTATATACACCAGATTAGTGGTTCTCAAATTTTAGTGCACATAAGAATGTTCTAGGGGGTTGTAAAATGCATATTTCCAGGCCTTACACTTAGAAATTCTTAGAATACTCAGAAATCCTGGGGTGGGATCAGGAAATAACACGTTTAACAAACAACCATAGGTGCTTCTGATGGAGGACATCTATGAAAAGTATGCAGTAGATGGAATACGATGATGCCATTAAAAATAACTATGAAGACTTTGAAATAGCATTGAAAAGGTGTATGATATACCCTTAAGTGAAAAATTCAGGATCCAAACTTGTACGCTTTATCTGATAACTACATTAAACATGCTTAAGAAAAAAGTTGTTTTTAGCAATAAGATTAAAGGTAATTTTTGATCTTTTACTCAAAGTTTTAAATAGTCATGCTATTATTATAAATGAATCACTAACACATTAAAATTGAAAAAAAAAAACACATTGGATCCTCATGGCCTTCAGGATTAGGCTCAAACTCCTTAGGGCAACACACAAGGTCCTTCTATCTCCAGACTTAGCTCTTGTCCATGCTCCATATCAAACTACTTATAATACCCCAAGCTATATTCTATATTTTCACACACTATTATTGAATATACTGTTCCTTCTGCCTGAAATGCCCTTTCTCCAACTTGTCTGGAAAATTCCTATTCATCCCACAAGATTCAAGCACTACCTCCTCTCTGCAGTTTCCCCTGAATACTCCTCCAAGTCAAATTCTGGGTGCCTCCTTCTTGCTCCTAGTATTCCTACAGCATTATTTGGTATTTCCATTGCTCCATATATCACCCTGTATTTTACCTTTTTGCTGATAGATCTATCCCATTATTCTGCAAGTACATGGGGTAGGTAGAGATGATCTCATTTAGTTTTAGAATCCACAAAGTACTCAGCAAATACTTGTTAAAATAAGTAAAGACCTATTTTTTGTTATCACTGTTCTTAGTTATCAGTTTTCTAAAAAATCCTGAGTGCCCTGCTGGTTAGTTGGATAACACTTGGCTCAATGATTAATGAGCTTTGTCTAATATATACATATATATATACACACACACGTAGCATAAAACAAACCCATGAAAAATTTTTAAGAAATAGTTTAACCATTGTTTGTAATTCTTCACGTTCTCTGCTTATGTCTTCAAAGTTTCTATCAACCTTCAGGATGACAGACCACTCTGGTCAATAGCCAAAGCAGGCTAACAGGAATAACTCTGCTCTGGGCTCCTCCATTGCTGGAGTTTACCCAGCCAAAGAACATCCCTGCAGAATTCTTGCTGCTTCCCCCAAACACACTCCCACTCACTGCCATCTCCGCACTAGCAGTAAAATATCTATATAAAACAGAGATAATTCTGTAAGTAAATAGAGCAGTTTTTTAGTATATTCAAAACACTAGATACTATATTTAGTATATTTGTGTAATACATAAAACATTTCAAATGCAGATTACTAACTAGAGGTACCAAACAAGAACCTAAAGTGACTAATAGTAATTCAGGCCAAAAAAAAAAAAAAGAAAGAAAAATCAATGTGGAAGAATACTAATTGAGATCCAGGTATCAGAACTTCAAATGCTTTCCCTGTACCGTAAAACATAAGTTTTAGGAATAACCTGGATGCTGAAGCCAACTTGCAACACAATTTTTTTAAAAAGAAAAACAAAATACATTTTTTAACATTTGAATCTCAAGCCACATTAGGCATTAAAGCTGTGATACAACTTTGTTCCATATCTCTGTCACCTGTGATATAATAAATGTGTACAGAAATACTTTTAGTGCACACTTCATAGATACTGTACTTTTTTAAAAATTGAAGATTTATAGGAACCATGTGTCTAACAAGTCCATTTTTCCAATTAGGCCAATGTGCTCAGTTCATGTCTCTGTGTCACATGTTGGTAATTCTCACAATATTTCAAACTGTTTCATTATTTTTATATCTGTTATGATCATCTGTGAACTGAATAATGCTGTGTGTGTTCTCACCACTCCACCAACTGGCCATTCCATCTCTCTCCCTCTCCTTGGGCCTCCCTATTCCCTCGGATACAACAATATTAAAATTAGGCCAATGAATAACCCTTCACTGACCTATAAGTGTTCAAGTGAAAGGAAGAGTCACACGTTTCTCACTTTAAACGAAAAGCTAGAAATGAATAAACTTAGTGAGGAAAGCATGTTAAAAGTCGAGACAGACTGAAAGCTAGGCCTCTTATGCCTAACAGTTAGCCAAGCTGCAAATGCAAAGGAAAAGTTCATGAAGGAAATGAAAAGTGCTACTCCAGTGAACACATGAATGATAAGAAAGCCGAAGAGCCTTATTGCTGATATGGAGAAAGTTTGAGGGGTCTGGATAGAAGATCATAACAGCAACACAACATTCCCTTAAGGCAAAGCCTAATCCAGAGCAAGGCCCTAACTCTCTTCAATTCCATCAAGAGCTGATGGAGCTGGGGAAGCTGCAGAAGAAAAATCTGAAGGTAGCAGAGGTTCAGGGGGCTTAAGGAAAAAAGCCATCTCCATGACATAAAATGGCAAGGTGAAGTAGTTAAATGCTGATGCAGAAGCTGCAGCAAGTTATCCAGAAGATCTAGCTAAGATAATTGATAAAGGTGACTACACTAAACAACAAAATTTCAGTGTAGATGAAACAGCCTTCTATTGGAAGAAGATGCCATCTAGGACTTTCATAGCTAAAGAGAAGTCACTGCCTGGCTTCAAAGCTTCAAAGGACAGGCTCTCTTGTTAGGGGTTAATGTAGCTGGTGACTTTAACTTGAAACCAATGCTTATTTACCATTCCAAAAATCCTAGGGCCCTTAAAAATGATGCCAAATCTACTGTGCCTGTGCTCTGCAAGTGGCACAACAAAGCCTGGATGACAGCACATCTGTTTGTAGCATGGTTTACTGAATATTTTAAGCCCAATGTTGAGACCTACCACTCACAGAAAAAAAGATTCCCTTCAAAATATTACAGCTCAGTGGCAGTGCACTAGTCACACAAGAGCTCTGATGGAGATGTACAAGAGACTAGTGTTGTTTCCATGCCTGCTAACACAACATCCATTCTGTAGCCCAGAGATTGAGGAGTAATTTTGGCTTTCAAGTCTTCTTATTTAAGAAATACATTTTGTAAGGTTATAGCTGCCATACCTAGTGGTAGCTATAGAACCACTAAGAACATTTGCGGGCCAGGTGCAGTGGCCCATGCCTGTAATCCCAACACTTTGGGAGGCCAAGGTGGGAGGATCACTTGAGCCCAGAAGTTCAAGACCAGTCTGGGCAACATAGGGAAACCCTGTCTCTACAAAAAATTTAAAAATTATCCAGGCTTGGTAGCACATGCCTGTGGTCCCAGCTACACAGGAGGCTGAAAGCAAAGAATCACTGAGTCTGGGAGGTCAAGGCTGCAGTGAGCACAGTGATCATGCCACTGCACTCCAGGCCTGGGTGACAGAGTGAGACCCTATCACAAATAAATAGATAAAACATTTGTGGTTCATGGGAGGAGGCCAACATTAACAGGAGTTTTGGAAGAAGTTGATTCTAACTCTTATGACTGATTTTGAGGGATTCATGATTTCAACAGAGGAAGGAACTGCAGATGTGGTGGAAATAGCAAGTGAAATAGAAGTGAAGCCTGAAAATTGGACTAACTGACAACAATCTCATGATAAAATTTGAACAGATAAGGAGTTGCTTCTTATGGATAAGCAAAGAAAGTGGTTTCACGAGTGGAATCGACTCCTGGTGAAGACACTGTGAACATTGCTGAAACATCAACAAAGGATTTATAACATAACATAAATAAAGCAGCAGCAAGGCTTGAGAGGAGTGACTCCAGTGACTCCAATTTTGAAAGTTCTACCATGGGTAAAATGCTATCAAACAGCATCCCATGCTACGGAAACATCTTTTGTGAAAGGAACAGTCAACTAATGTGAAACTTCATTACTGTCTCATTTAAGAAATTGCCACAGCCATCCCAACCTTCAGCAACCACCATTCTAATCAGTCACCAGCCAACAACATTGAGACAAGACCTTCTACCAGCAAAAGGATTACAACTTGCTGAAGGCTCAAATGATCATTAGCATTTTTAGCAATGAAGTATTTTTTAATTACGTACATTGTTTTGTTAGATATAAGGATGTTGCACACTTAACAGTACAATATAGTGTAAACATAACTTTTATATGCACTGGATAACCAAAAATTTTGTATGACTCACTTTATTGCAGTGGTCTGAAAACAAATCCACAATATGTCTGAGCTATGCCTGTACATCTAAGTAATAACGTCTGATATAGGCAAATAATATATGTTTATATCTAAAATGGGTTTATATAATCCAATAAAAAATTCTAGAGACTAAATGAGTAGCAAAAAGAAAATACTTTTCTATCACCAGCCATATACTCTCTCATTTCTCATGTCTCCAGTCAAATCCCTTCCCCTTCAGCCTTTAAGAAGGAAGAATTAGCCAGGCATGGTGGTTCACACCTATAATCCCAGAACTTTGGGAGGCCAAGTCAGGAGGATGGCTTGATCCCAGGAGTTCGAGACCAACCCAGGAGTTCAAGAACAGCAAGGCAGGAGGATCACTTGAGCCCTCAACAACAGACCCCAACAGACAGGGTTTCCCTATGTTGCCCAAGTTGGTCTTGAACTCCTGGATTCAAGTGATCCTCCTACCTTGGCCTCCCAAAGAGCTGGGATTACGGGCATGAGCCACTGTGCCTGGCCCACAAATGTTCTTAATGGTGTCTAGCATGGTCAATCCTTTCCAGAAGGTTTTCAATTTACTTTGCACAGATTCATCAGAAGAATCACTATGTATGGCAGGAGTTTGAGGAACAGTGAGGCTCTGTCCTTATAAAAAAAAATCAAAAAATTGGTTGGGCATGGTGGCACATGCTGGTAGTCCCAGCTACTTGGGGTCTAAGACATGAGAATCACTTGACCCTGGGGGGCAATGAGGCTGCAGTAAGCTGTGATTGCACCACAGCACCCCGGCCTGGGTGACAGAGTGAGAACTTGTCTCCAAAAAAATGGAAGAATTACCACCTGTATCCAACATTCTCTTACGAGCCTGGCAAAATCCACTCCATTTGTTCTGCCAGAAGAGGTCGATGGCTTTACTATTTTGGCCTAATGTTTTGTTGCCTCTTTAAATGAAAATACGAAAAGAGCTGCTTCTTTCTAAAAGCTTTACCAATCAATTACAACTTCACTATGAATTAACTGTCAGGTCCCACAAACACTTTTTGGTGGTAAAGAAAGGAAAGAAAAGGCACTGGGTCCATGACGTTAGAGGATAAATTAACATTGAGGTATAAGCATTCCCTTTCCTCTGCAGCCTCACCAGCATCTATTGTCTTTCGACTTTTAAATAACAGCCATTCTGACTAGTGTGAGATGCTATCTCTCACTGTGGTTTTGATTTGCATTTCTCTGATAACTAGTGATGCTGAGCATTTTTTATGTTTGTTGGCCACTTGTATGTCTTCTTTTGAGAAATGTCTGTTCATGTACTTTACTCATTTTTTAATAGAGTTACTTGTTTTTTGCTTGTTGACTTAAGTTCCCTATAGCTTCTGGATATTAGGCCTTTGTCAGATACACAGATTGCAAATATCTTCTCCCATTCTGTAGGTTGTCTGTCAGTGTGGAAGGTAGTACAGAGATTTCTCAAAGAACCTAAAATTGCTACCATTCGACCCAGCAATCCCATTGCTGTGTATATACCCAAAAGAAAATAAATCATTCTACCAAAAAGACACATGCATTCATGTTCATTGCTGTGCTATGCACAATAGCAAAGACATGGAATCAATCTAGATGCCCATCAATGGTAGACTGGACAAGAAAATGTGGTACATATACACCATGGAATACTAGGTAGCCATAAAAAAGAATGAATCCATGTCCTCTGCAGCAACATGGATGGAGCTGGAGGCCATAATCCTAAGAAAATTAACACAGGAACAGAAGACCAAATACCACATGTTCTCACTTATAAGTGGGAGCTAAATATAAAGCATATGTGGACATAAATAAGGGAACGAAAGACACAGTGGACTACTAGAGGGTGGAAGGGGGGTAGATTAAAAAACAGCCTATTAGGTACTATGCTCACTACCTAGGTGACAGGATCCATGCTCCAAACCTCAGTGTCATGCAATATTTCCATGTAACTAATCTACATACATACTTCCTGTATCTAAAATCTGTTGAAAATTTTTTTTAAATATTCAGATAGGCTGGAATCTAGAGATGATGCCAGCTGGCACAAAAACTGGAGCCAGGGTGAACTTGTAGTAATTAGAAAAAAACGCTTTTTTTCTGAGATGTGATTGAGGAGGGTTAAAGGGAATGTGGTGTGGGAAATAGAAACAGGAAAGGAGGTTGGCTGTTTATGCTCACATCCATCAATCAAGATTTGATCCAATTTGATCAAAGAATGGTAACAAGTCTAAGCAGTTTGTTTCAGTTCAGTTAACTAGAAGTGATTAACCACTTCAAATAAAGCTACTCTCATAACACAATAGAATCCAAATAACTCTACTGCACAGCTTAATCAAAGTTCCATTTCACAACTAGATCCATGAAGACATGTCATTTAATAAGAAACATGATTCATAAGAATCAGATTCAGAGATGAACACTCTGGACAGTGCAGTAGAAGAAACAGAGTGTCTTAGTCTATTTTGTGTTCCTATAAGAGAGTACCTGAGACTGGGTAGTTTACAAACAATGTATGTTTTTGTGATTCACATTTCTGGATGCTGGGAAGTAAAAGAGCATGGTACTAGCATTTGCTCAGCATTTGGTGAGGACCTTCTTATTGCATCATCCCATGGCAGAAGGCAGAAGGGCAAGCAAGCATGGGCAACAGAAAGAGGAAATTGGGCTGAACTCATTATTTTGTGAGGAGCCTCCCATGACACCTAACCCACTCCCACAATAATGGCATTAATCCATTCATACATGCAGAGCCCTCATGGCCTAATCACCTCTAAAAGATCTCACCTGTTTGTTTTGTTTTTATTTTGAGTAGGGTCTCACTCTGTCACCTAGGCTGGAGTTCAGGGGCATGATCATTGCTCACTGCAGCCTCAAACTCCTGGGTTCAAGCAATTCTCCCCACCCAGCCTCTCAAGTAGTTGGGGCTACAGACGTGCAATGCCACACCTGGCCATTTTGTTTTGTTTTGTTTTTTATAGAGACAGGGTCTCACTATGTTGCCTAGGCTATTCTTGAACCCCTGGCCTCAAGTGATACTCCCGTCTCAGCCTCCCAAAGCCTGCGATTACAGGTGTGAGCCACCACGTCCAGACAGATCCCATCTCTTCATACTGTCACAATGACAAATAAATTTCAACATGAGTTTTGGAGACAACACTCAAATCATAGCACTGTGGAAAACAAAATTTATCCTTTGGTCATATTTTTTGATCCATCTTCAAATATCAATTAAAAGCCTCATCCAGATTTAACACAAATGTAAAATGTATTTGATATCCTACTGACACCAAAGAAGAAAAGTAGACTCTTAAGAAAAGTTTCTAGATCTGTATTACACAAGAAAATTCAATGAGTTTTCAACTGGCATTGTGCCTCTGCCTGCCCGTACGGCTTACATAACCATGTCCTCACATGCATGAGAAAGAACTGGAAGATAGAAGCGTCTTCTTTGTAAATTCCTTTTTCAAATATAAAATATTCTCCCATATCAACATATGATGAGTAATAAAAACTCACTGTATTTTAATTAACTAACATCATTCTGCAATATGTCCAAAACGGAAACTAAAGACACTCTAAAATGCATTAAGTGTTAAATATCTTCAGGTTCCATAGGTTGAAATTAGTCTTTTCTAACCTTTGTCTGGCATTATAGTCAGCTTCCATTTCTAGTTAAATACTCAGGAATAATGTTCTATCATAGGCTTCTGATAGAATTTTCCAAAATTACCTCAAAATTATTTCAGTATATAACTGAACTAATCAAATTGTTTACTGTCACCTGAAAGGTTAAGTTGCTAAAGTCAGCAGAGGCACTAATAAATATTATATGCTTCTGCCTTAATGTCAGTGAAGACTTGCATCAGCCTTTGTCATCTGTAAGAAATCGAGTCACACAAGAAACTGTGCAATGGATGGACAGGTTGAGTAGTAGTCACTGGCTGGCTGCCCTAGTTCACTGCTACACATCACCCTCAGTGTTTTGAAAAGGGAGCTGAAAACCCTGCTCAGTGGAGAAAGAGGTCAATACCAAAATTCACCCTCCTTTCTCCTTACTCCCCATCATGCAGCTGGCACTGTTCACTCTGGCAGATACAGCTCCCTGAACATAATGGTGCAATCACCACTTCAAACATCATTACTATCTAAAATAGATAACCCACTTGCAACTTGACTATTTTTATAGATATAACATTTTCATGGAGCTTAACTGCTCTATTTGTGATTTATTCCATTTAACCAATGCAGTTTCCCTGAAAGTGAGTTTCTTATATCAGGGTCCCAATAACCACAATTGCCCAAATAGTTGTGAAAATTACAGTACTTCCTAGTTGTCTGTTATCTCCCTGTATTCATCACCAAAATGACATGAGCTGAATCCTAAATCTGAAAAATTATAAGCTCTCTGGTTTTTATGTTTTTGGTGACCAGAAGATTGTTTTGCTCCACTTCTTATTGATCTACTTTTTCACATGGGGATCTTAAGAACTGTATTATTTATTTCTGACAAGAATTTACTAAATACACCTTATATAAAACTCAACTCTTCGAGGCATTAAGAAAATCAAATAAATTGAGGCATTAATAAAGTTTTATCACTGTATTAAAATACAAATAATTCTCTATCCTATACTCAGCAAAAAATTAATTAAATATACATTTTAAATGGAAATTAGTTTTGTTTAGAATAAAAGGTAGTTGTGCCAAAGGAAGAGAGGTTTTTTTTTAAGATTTTGCAGCTGTCTCATAAAAGATATGTTAAATAAACTGAAATTTCACATAAAATGTAGAGGAAGAAAAGGAGGGAGGCAACTCAATTTTAGTGCTCTGATGAGCTCAGATTTCTTTAAGGATGAAAGGGGGTAGTAAGAGGTATAACTGCAAGCAAACACAAAAAAAGAAATATATACTTGTCCAGGAAAAATGCTAATGTCCTTTTTAGCTAAGTTTGAAAAAGAGAAAAGAGGTGTAACAGTTCACTAATTTCACCTTCAGTTCTGGCAGAGTAAAAGGAAAACTGTGGGTAGTTTTAAACCACAAGATAATTTTCTATGATATCTAACAATGCCAAGAATCTAATTCTTCCCAACTTTTATTTTGCTTCTATTTTCCCTATTGAGAACCATTTTCAAATCAGAAGGGATAAACAAATAACTTCAGGAGATTACTGAAGGTCCAAACGAGACCATAAGGGACAGTAAGCTGCTTTAAATAAGTATGCATATCCAGACCCAGAAGAATTAGATGCAAGAGGGTAGAAGGAATTTTTGCCAATACTAGGAATTACCAATGGCTCACTGCCAGAAACAAGCCATAATAAAGTAGACTGATTTTGATGGAATTTAAAGGATAGATCAAAAGAATGCCATACACTTAAATACAGTGTGAATTTAGAAAGGCAGTAGATAAAATACCTCACAATATTCTCACAGGAACAATGGAGAGAAATAGCTGATTGTCATTGCGTGGCTTCAATCCTGGTAGAAATACCATGAGTAAAGACTGTTACTTTTAAATTTATACTAAGTTGAAGAGAGGTGCTTTGGGGATATAGCACAGTGTGTTGAATTTAGGTTATAGAAAACATGCTTATTACATCTCTGGATGATACAGGGGAGAGAAGTTAATACGCTGAAAGACAGACTCAAGAGTCAGAAAGAAGAAAAAAAAGAGTCAAAAAGATATAGAGAAATTACAAATACAACATAAAACAAATCAGATAAAAAGGAACAGGAATAATTTAAGCTCAATCAACACTTTTAAAAGTACCAGAAAGGGGACCTGGCTTCACAGGTCATTGAAAAAAAAAAATACCAGGAAATTTTAATTGACTGTATGTTCAACATGAGCCAACACCATTACATGGCCCAGAAAATCTTGACCTGTAGGTAGGTCTTAGATCAATAATAAAGAGATAATAATTTCATTGTATCATGTTTTAATAGCTGCTATTTTATTTTAATTACATAATACATATTCATTACAGAACACTGAAAATAAAGCCCAACCACAATTCCACCACTCAAAGATGAATACTATCTTCATTTTGGCATCTTATCATTCCAGACTTCTTAAGCACATTATAAGTGTTCAAACAAACTTATTTTTTCTTGCAAAAATAAGATCATACTATAAATGCTTCTTGTAACCTGCTGTCCTTGGTTTTCTTATTCAGCCATAATGTTCTACTCTGGTCAAGGGACATCTACTGCATTTTGTGAATTTCTAGTCACCATACTTTAAGAGGGTCATTGCAAAATTTGAGAATATGTAAAGAAGGAAAGAGAGAGTAGAGAAAAGTATGAAAACTAAGTTCTTAACATCTATGCTGTCTTGCCATATAAAAGGTTAACAGAGATGATAGCTCTTCCATGAAAAATACTTATAAGAAAACAAAAATACATGCATCTAAAGAACTATCCTGCAGATGAATTAGACTGCTTTATATTGACCCATACAGCCAATCTACTACCAATTGCTGAAAGTCACAGGGAAGTGGATTTTAGCTCAATGAAAAGAAAAATTTTAAAATAATTACAGCTGTCAAAAATAGAATGAATCTAGTCATTGGAAGGTTTAACAGGGCTGGAATAACTAACAGGTAAGAAATGTTACAGAGAAAATTTCCGCACTAGGTGAGAAGTTGGAAGAAAGTTCCCTCCTTATTTGACGATTCTATGATTGCTATGGGAAATTTACTCCCAGTCCAATAGGAAGCAAATCTTTAGTCATTAAGGCCTTAAAGAATACAGTCAAGTGCTTTAGAGGTGCATGAAAAATATTAACACTAACGATGAACACCTATATGCTAAATGTTTTGCATTCATTACTTTATACTTCATTTAATCCTTATAATGATCTTATATGATAGGTACTATTATTACTATTTCCACTCTGATAGAATAGTGAGGCTTAGAGAGGTTTTTAAATTTATTCAATGGCATTCTTACATTTGCTGAAAATTGCAGTGCCACCCAAAAGCATACCTGATTCCCCATTACATAGTTACTGTTGAAAGGATAATTTCTTATTACCAGTAGATAACAAGTAATCAGAAGCATCTTCAGAAAAGTTCTTGTCTAGTGAACCCTCAAAGGGCAGTTGTGAGATTTTTTTAATTAGAAAAAAATACCAAAATTTAAGGAATTTCAAATTATTCTTCATAGCAAAAAATGTTCAGATTGGCCTGTCTAAATTGGCCACATACCTTTAAACTTTTGTGAATAAAACAGATTCAATGAATGAGACTTAAAATGTTGTAAAACAAATCTGAATCACAGATTTTCAAATCTTTGCCATTATTAATTAAGTGACCATGGGCAAGTCCTTAATCTTATCTTTTTATTCCTTCATCTGTGAAATGACAATGGACCTCCTAAGGCTGACACAAGAATTGAATGAGATGACACGTGTAAGCACTTAGCATAGGGTCTGACACCATTATTACACAACCCAGGTAATAAAGCAAGCGGGGAAAAAGTGCCAAACATATTCTACAGTTCCTTCTAAAACATTAAGAAATTTCAAAGTGTCATTATGTTTGACGGGGGACACATTTTCCATTATCCTGCCAATAAATTTCTGATGACAATCATTTTTGAAATAAAGTGACAACTAAATAAAATGTGCCTTCTTAGGAATGTCATTTTATGCAAATGATTGCCCAAAGAATACAATTTCAACTCTCATTTTCTTCAGACACTATTCAGTATAAGATGGATAAAAGCAAGTTTAAAGGTTATTGGTTTTGTTTGTGATTTTTACAACTTGGTTCGAAGTACTCTAATAAACACATGTTGTTTACTTTTGTTTTCTATGTGCAATCTTTGTTGTAGAGCTACTACTACTACTACTACACCAGCAAAAGAGAAAACCTCTCACTCAAGATATACACTGTGGGTCACTATTTTGATACTTTAGTGTCCACTAACATTAAATACTTGGTGTTTTATCCCTAAAACTTGACATCTATTCTTTAAAAAAAAAAAAAAAAATCACAGCTGGGAAAGGAGTATTTAAAGGATGTTTGCTTTTGAGTTTTGTCACAAGGAGTGTTTTTAAAATACGATTTATCACAATAAAATTAAGTGAAATTCTCACTGTTCTCAAATAATTCCTCATGTTTTCCCGAAGAAATTGTTTATTTTGAGAAAATTCTTTCAGCATACCAGTTTTTAGACATAATCATTTTTATAACTGATGGATCCACAGCAAACGTTGTTATTTTACGTGTAACTTAAAACTGTAAAGAGATAAATTGCTTTCACATAAACTACATGTGACTACAGGCAATTATTAGAGCTGCAATCTGAAATATGCACACATTGTCTACCTGTGTTTGAAAGAGAAGATTATTTAACAAGGGAGTACACACAAGTCATCTCTATGACCTATTGAAAAAATGTCCCATAAATATTCATTCTTCTGACATGAACTATCATTCCAATAAAATGTCACTGTCAACGAGTATATAGAATAACATATGGGGCTTTTTAAAATCCCATCGACTATTTTTCAACTCAATTTATTTCACTGTAATAGAAACTTTCCATTTTCCCTTTTAGCTAGCCCTATAATTAATTGCACTGTCTGACCACCACAACCTATGAGAACTTGTGTAAAGAACGCAATGTCATCACCCAAAAGTTTCTATTAAGCACTTGTCAAGGGTAGCATGGAACAGTTTTTAAAAAACCAGGGAAATCACTTGGGCTTTCTAAAATTTTTACAACTATAGTTGGGTTATCCAAGAGATGTTTTAAGGCGAAGATATGAATGACAATTGATGACTCCAAAAATACCCAGGATAAATTGGATAGCCACGATTTTAGAAACTAAAGAGCTTCCCTTGAATTGTATCTAGTGAATACTCTCCAGGCTTCCTCCCTCCCAGTTGATTTCATTTGTCCATCAATACAACTTTTAATAGTTTCTCAAGTATGGAAATCAACCCCGCTATTTCCAAGGTACTGCTGAATGAAGACCTTGACATTTTTTTTAAATGTCATCTTAGAAAGATTCTCCAAGCAATACCAGTCTCACCTACGACATCTTCACGTTAAAAGGCCTCTACCGTACTCCATATACAGTATCCCAATACCAACCTGGCATCCTTCATCCTGAGCTATAACAACCAAGTTTCACTCAGCTATGTCCAGGTAACTGAAAGTATTGCTGGGGCTGCCTAACCTGCCCCATCAAGTTTTATACACACCCTGTGCTGAAGACATCTCACCAGAAAGAAGGTTCACTCACTTCATTTTGTGGGATCATAACCCACGGCACAGCAAACGCCTTCTGCAAGAGAAGGTAGGAGCCACCGAAGGCTGTGGCTTTTGCAGGGTAATTGCATGCACGCAAGAGATTCTCTGCCAATTTCATTTAACTAGACAAAAAAGGCTGCGTTCAAAGCTGCAAATATGTAATAAATGTTGATGGAAAGCGGGCGGAACGTCGATTTTCTTCAAGCAACACTAGTACATGTACAAGTTCTGCACCAGGGCTCAGAGGAAAAGTAGCTTACTGACGCATTGATGGAAGGCTATTTTAAAATTACTCAAAGAATCTAAGGCATCAATCTGACTGGGAGGCTCATACCTCCTCTCCATACACGCAGTCTGTTTTCCTACCTAATTTAAGAATGAATCGCTGGCAGCCACCAGGTGCAATAACCGTGAGGAGGAGGACGTATATCCATCACAATGCATAATGAGGTGTGCCAACCCCGGAGCTGGTGCCCGTCCTTACCTTAGCAGATTAGACAGGGGCAGGGGTCCGGATCCACCGCCCAGGATCCCTCCTTTCCTGCCAGACAGGAGTTTCTCCACCAGAGCCACATTTCCAGTGCGAGCAGCTTCCAGCAGCTCCTGGTCCTTCCCCATAGTCTCTCACCGACTCCCCCACAGAGTCCTTGCCCCCCTCGGGTCCTCCTCCCCACCCACCCCCACTCCCCAAAATCCAGGGCCCTCTTCGCCCCACCCTAAAATAATGCAAGAGCTTCAGCACGGAGAGCTCCCTGCAGCCCCAGGCAGGGAGCACGACTCTCTCCTCCTCTTCGGGGCGCAGCTTTTACAATGGGGATCAGACCATGTCTTGAAAGAGGGGCTGGCCGAGCTGGGAGCCGCGACGCGCCCCCACAGCCACTCCCCTGAATTCCCAAGGCCTCGTTCCCGCGGGTGCGGCGTGAGGGGGTGGGGACTCGGGGGTGCTTTTGAGGAGCGGGAGGAGGGTGGTGAGGACTGAGGTCGGAGGAGGAGGAGGAGGCGGCAGAGAGAGTCCTAGCTGGAGCGGGAGCGCAGGGAACACCCGCGGTGGCAGCAGCGGCCCGCGCGCCCTCGCGCCCGACCCGGGCTCGCCTCGGCTTCCTCGGCGGTTACGCGGGGGCGGCGTCCGCGGCGGGGAGGAGCGCGGCGGCGGCGGCGGCGGCTCGTGCGCTGTGGCCCGCGCCGAGGCAGGGCGGTGGGGGGCAGCCGCAGCGGGCGCGTGCCGAGGGCGGCGGCGGCGGCGAGGCCTGGCGCGCGGGGGGCGTGTGCGCGCGGGCAGGTGCGGCCCCTGGTGCGGCCCGAGTTGGGTGGCGGGCTGGCGGGGAGGGGCCGGGCCGGCTGAGGCGGGGCTTCGGCCCTGAGATTCTCTTCGTTCTCGTGGGCGGGGACCCTCCCTCCTCCACTCTCCTTGGAAGAGCGTTAACCGTGTGAGGACTGGAGTTCCCCGGGCCGCGTCGGCTCCTCCTCGGCCCGGCGGGCCCCGGCAACACGCCTCGGGTCTGTCACGACGCCTGAGGAAAATCCTCCGTGACAGGAATGGGGAGGCTGGTGACACTGGGGAGGGGCCCTTTGGCCACCGCTTCCATCAGAGTCTAGGCAACTTGACCGGCATTTCACCCTTCCGCTTTACCTCCCCAAGAGAGCCTGAGATCTGCCCTTGGTTAGAAAGAAGAGGCTCGTTTCGTCCTAGTTTCTGTGGCACTGGCCACCGAGCAGTTTGCGACTGTTTCAGTTTTTCTGGAGTCTTTAATCAGCCCATATTTTAGTTGGGCTTTGGAGATCTGCTGACTTGTAAGAATACCAGGAAAAAGGCTCTCATTGAAAATTTATCCACATCTACACTCGAAAAATATAAATGGGCATGGATTAGAGATCCACTTTAATTTGCATATATCATCAGCAATTCATTGTGCATGGTTGGCATGACTTGTTAGATGCTCTCCTTGGCCGTGGTGGAGAACGCGCGTTTATTTTCTATTAAAACTTCCTGTTACACCTTGTGCTTTGCATTGTCCTTGGAATAGACTTCATAAATGTTCACTTGTTGATAATTGATTGGTAAGAAGAGGACTTAATAGGCACTGTGCTTACAACAACCCAGTGAACTGGATATTATTATATCCATTTTAGAAATGAGGAAATAGGGCTCAAATGGTTAATTAAATTTCTCAAGATGCCACATGGAGTAAGTGGCTGACTCAGAACTAGACCCCAGAACAGACTCACTCCAGACACCATGTGCTTCCCAATATACGTTCCTGCCCCCCATGGAAAAGCGAAATGGACAGACAATAATTATTGCATGCATTTGATGAGTAGTTGCTACATACCAGACACTATGCTAAGTGCTTTCCATGTTCTCATTAAGCCTTGCAACAATCGCATGAGATAGGACCATTTTCATCTCTATTTTGGAGATGAAGAAACTGATTACCCGCAAGATAATAGGGATAGAAAGTAACTGAGCCAAGGCTCAAATCCGGCACTGTCTGCTGTAGGCAAAGATTTTCAATAAATAACTGGGGGAAACTTAAAAGGCATTTAGAGATAAATAACAAGAGTATATTAAAACATTTTTATGGAATTCATTGTGTTCTGAGATTTCATTTCAATGATTCAAAATATTAGGTAAATTATGGCTATTTATTGGAGGTTTCCTGAAGTATGTAGATTTTGGCTAGTGTAGTTTTTTAATTCATTTTGATTTTGTTTTCTGTGTTAGAATCTGTTTTAATAAGATAATCTATGTTATAATAATATAATCCCTGACATAATGGGACTAGCAGACCAATGAAAGAAACGAGATAAGGAGCCATCACATTCATTTTGAAAATGGCATAGGGAAATCCTTCTTCCTTTTTCCTAATGTTGCCACCTAAGCAAAACACACCTTTCCCAGAATATACTGTAAGTATTCAATTGGTCAGAACTGAAAATCACCCACAGTTTTCACAAGCAACATTTAATCATGGATGAGTTGGTGACCGCAGGCCCCGAGTCATCTTATCGAAATCATGCAGCCCCCACCCCCAATGGGAAAACCATTAGTAATGATTTACTCTAAGAATCAGTTCCACAGTTCGGGCATTCTACTGACATATGATAATCAAAGCCAATTTTTCAGCTTCAAACTCTTTGGTTTTAGTGACCTCATAACTTTGTTTTTCTGTAGACATTGCAGTGACTGCACCTCATAGTTTTTTGTTGAAGAGGATAAAGGCTTTGGCTACATGGGGACTAACATGCAAAATAAAAGTGAAAACATTCTTTTAAAAATCTACAGAGGCCAAAATAAATATCCAGATCTTTTAAACATCCAGATTTCATCAAGATGTTTTGCATCTGTGAATAGTGAAAAGAGTGATAGAATCTTGGGAACCAATTAGACAATCTCTATCTCAGTGTGTGCATAAGTAAAATGAAGAAGTTATGTCGGATGCCTTCCACTGGCCTTGCCAGCCATAATATTCTATGCCTGTGATGAAACGTGGTCTTAGTCCATTAAGTCATTTGCATCACTGAAGCTAGAAATTAAGTATGGAGATAGATTTGAGATTTCTATTCTGTTTTTATTTGATTTGATTTTCTGAGACAGAGTCTGACTCTGTTGCCAAGACTGGAGTGCAGTGGCACGATCTCAGCTCACTGCAACCTCTGCTCCCAGGTTCAAGTGATTCTCAAGCCTCAGCCTCCCCAGTAGCTGAGATTAGAGGCGCCCACCACCACGCCCGGCTAATTTTTGTATTTTTAGTAGAGACAGGATTTCACTATGTTGGTCAGGCTGGTCTCAAACTCCTGACCTCAAGTGATCCACCTGCCTCGGCCACCCTCTATTTTGTTTTTAATTATAAAATAAATATATATTTTTTCGGGTTTTTAAATCTATCTTTGCTATTCTCAATGGACAGTATTAATAATAGCAAATGTAGGCCGGGCATGGTGGCTCATGCCAGTAATCCCAGCACTTTTGGGAGGCCAAGGTGGGTGGATCATGAGGTCAGGAGATCGAGACCATCCTGGCTAACATGGAGAAACCCCATTTCTACTAAAAATACTAAAAATTAGCCGGGCATGGTGGCGGGCACCTGTAGTCCCAGCTACTCGGGAGGCTGAGCCAGGAGAATGGCGTAAGCCCAGGAGGTGGAGCTTGCAGTGAGTGGAGATCGCGCCACTGCACTTCAGCCTGGGCGACAGAGCAAGACTCTGTCTCAAAAATAAATAAATAAATAAAATAAAATAAAATAATAATAATAGTACATGTGTATTTTGTGCCAGGAATGATACTATACCCTTTACTTTCTCTCATTTTATTTAATTCTGAAGTAACACTGTAAGAAGATATTATAAGTCCTGCAGAATCTCTGAATCCCTTATATTTCAAATTCTGATATAAATCTACTTCTGGATACTTTTTGGCAAGAATTATTGCTCTAATATACACATACTGCAAGTCACTCTTCTAGGAGTTGATTAATAAAAGAAGGGACTAGGGGTTGAGATTAGAAGGGGGAAGTGAAGCAAATACCAGTTTTTGTATAGAAGTGTTTGCACACACACACAAAACTCTTTGGAAACATTAAAGAAATTGAAGGACCATGAATCCAGACCAATCTTAGAATTATATACCAAGGTCTGTTTTCAGTGAAGAAGAGAAAAAGATAATATCTTATAACATGAAGTTATCAACAGAGCTGAAATAAGAAGATAACCCTGTGATTTATGAAGTAGATTTACTTTCTCCATCTCAAGTTCTGAAGTTACTCTGCATCACTAGAACTATGAAGTCAACAGCTTCAGGTTACAGAATGTGAAAATACTAGACATCTGGATAGAAGAGCAGGTTCTTGCTTCCTGCATGACATTAAAGTTCTTCTCCACATGGCCACATGGCACAAACTCTGTCCCTCATCATCTTCCTGAGGGAACCCAAACACCAAGTGTATTATATTTACAATTTTTCTGAAGATTCATGGCCATGAATGTTGAAGGCCACAGAACACCAATCACCCATCTTCTCCAAGTTATAATTAGCTGAACGCAGACACAAGGAATCAAAGAGTATCTCATTAGCATATCATCTTTATTACGAGTCATATAAGGGTCTAATATCCCACAAAATCCCTGCTAAAACTACACTAAAAATGAGACGAGGGCCTACCTCTCTGTGAATGTGCACCTTGGGACCTACCTGTGGGGAAAGGTAGATCTGCAAATCTAAATGTATATACCCAGCCAGACTAATGCCTATCTCACAGATAAAGTCAGAGGAATGGAGAGAATGATCAGTTTCCAGGGCTGCCTTTGGAAAGCATGCCGAAACAGATTCTTACCCCAGAATCTCACCATCTTGGGACAGCAAGCAGAATAAAGCCCACTACCCTTCTTAGTGATCCATGAGACAGGCAAGAGAGAAAGAAAACCAGAGCTGAGCCTGTATCTTGTTTTGAAAGCAAGGTAGCCCCACCCACTAGTAAAGTGGTCCCAATGGATAGAAGTAGGGAAAGAAACCAGAAGTGTTCACTGTCTTAGAAAGAGGAGCAGAGCCTCCTCTCCTCTAGGGAAAGTCAGTGATGAGGAATAAGAGTTCCCCCAGGACCGTCACACTACACAACATTCCATCACCATCCTGCTGATTCTACCATTAACTCTCTCCGAGCCACCCTGCCTATGTGCTACTACCTTTGAAAGCCTATGTGCCCCACAGGTGACCCTGCACCTGGCCAGCTGAAAAAATATAGTCTTGTATCCACTTCAAACTATTTTCCCACCAAGAGAATCTACCCAAAATTCAGATAAATGATTTTTCACCATTTCTTTTTATTTCCCCACTGAGGAAAATACCTAGCATCCTGACAAACCTATTACACAGTCTCTCAGAGGGGCCGCTAAGAAGACACACAAACACATTATCCATTTTTGGCATCTTAACTGATCTCCCTGAAAGGCTAATCCCAATCTACCTCCTTCTTAGACTCCATCCTTTCCTTCTTCTGCGCAGTGATCCACAAACTTTTTCGTAAAAGGCCAGAGAGTAAATATTTTCATCTTTGTGGGCACACAGTCTCTATTGTACTACTAAATTCTGCCATTGTAGCATAAAAGTAGCCATAGACAATACTGAAACAAATTAGTGTGGCTGTGATCCAATAAAATGTCATTTATGGATATTGAAATTTGATTTGCAAAATTTTCATAGGTTACAAAATATTCTTTTGACTTATTTTCCAACAATTTTTAGAAAGCAAAATCCATTCTTAGTTCACTGGCCATACAGACTGTGGGTGGGATTTGACCCACGAGCCATAAGCCTACAGATTGAAGAGTGACGTATTCCAAAGCCCTTTTGGGGATACTGCTTTCTCCCTTGGTCTGATTGTTTAGACATGGGGGCAGGGGGCAGAATCAAATTGTTCCCCTTAAGGCATCTCTTCCACCCCAGCCTCAGCAGACAGAGAACCTCCCCATCAGCAAATCCTCTCTAACTCTCCTATATCTCAAGAAAGACCCTTAGGCCAGGTGCAGTGGCTCACGCCTATAATCCTAGCACTCTGGGAGACCAAGGCGGGCAGATCACCTGAGGTCAGGAGTTCGAGACCAGCCTGACCAACATAGTGAAACCCCGTCTCTACTCAAAATACAAAAATTAGCTAGGTATGGTGACATGCACCTGGAGTCCCAGCTACTTGGGAGACCAAGGCAGGAGAATCACTTGAACCCGGGAGGCAGAGGTTGCAGTGAGCCATGATCATGCCACTGCACTCCAGCCTGGGTGACAGAGCGAGACTCCGTCTCAAAACAAAACAAAACAAAACAAAACAAAACAACAAAACAACGCAACAACAACAAAAAACCCTTTCTTGGGGTCTCTATCATGGTCACATTACTGAGACTTTTGTATTGTATTATACTGGTGTGCCCTTCTTTACCATGAACAGATTGGAGAAGGGGCCCCCGCTGAGCTGAAACTCAACCTATGAGGAGAGGGATGATGATGATTCCTGACATCAGACAAGGGGCCCCACAGGACTAAGACCCAGACCTCTTAGGAGGAATCACCGGCTGCTTGGTACTAGTGTCTCTGAGGCAAAGCAACAACGCTGGTTCTGCATATTAGAAAAACTGCAAACTGGATTCAACCGCTGCTTCTGGAACAAACTGCCACTGCCATGTTGAAGAAGTGCAGTCTCCCTCTCGCATCTTTTATTGGTAGATCCTCACAGAGGACAAGGTGGCAAAGCAGTAATATGGTTTGCAGGTTATTATAAAACAGAGTGATGAGAATGGGCTTAAAGTTAAGAGGCAGCAGTGCAATAAAAGGCATAAAGCCCCCTTTAAAATCAGGTTAAACCAGCTGCATTTCTTGCTACCATCATCACTAAACTTCACAACCAGTGTTTTACTCACAACTTCTGAGAATTCTTGATTTCCTGTCTCCACTCCTAAGGCTCCTGGTCTTCTGTCTCCACTCCTACAACTCATGGAACTCTTGGATTCTGTCTCCTGCTCTGGCCCAGTAAATAACTCTAACCAGTACTTGGTTCCATGAAAAACCCGATCATTTTCTAAAAATCTGAAGAGTGACACACTGAATAGGAAAAACTCAAACTGTTTCTCCTCTGCTCTCACACCACAACAATCAACACCAAAGACATCTGTGACCAAATGTGTGGAGATTTGCCTCCATCAGTAAGCAAGCAATCAGTTCTGGAGCGGACACCAACTGGGTGTCCTCTAATTCAATTCAATTCTGACACCATCTACCTAGAGATAGTGTCAGATCCCACAGGTTGAGGGCTCTGTCCCCAAGGCTGCTCCCCTCTTTGGATGCCAGTCACAAGGCCCCAGTTGTTTTGTCTGTGCTTCTGACCCACCTACTGACTACATATCAGTGATACCACCCCTCCTTGGGTTCAACTAATTTGGTAGAGCAGGTCAATTAATTGGCTGGAGTGGCTCACAGAACTCAGAGAAACACCTCCATTTTCCCGTTTATTATAAAAGATATCACAAAGGATACAGATGAAGAGATGCGTAGGGTGAGGTATGGGAGAAGGGGAAAGGCGCTTCCATGACCTCCCTCCCGGGGTGCATCACCCTCGAGGAACCTCCATGTGTCCAGCTATCTGGAAACTCTCTGTGCCCTGTCCTCTTGGGTCTTTTATGGAGATCTCATTGGATAAGCATGACTGAAGCATAAACAACTGCACAGAAGTGATTGGACAAACAGGATATAATCTAATACTATTAGACTGATTGGAGAAACACAGCAGGGCCTGTTCAGATTCTTCTTGGCCACTCTGCACAGCAGTCCTTCCTCCTGGGTATGGGGCAGGACCTCTTATCAAATGCGGTCATATGACCTTCAATCAGTTTTACTGGAGAGTTTCTTTATGGAAAGACAGGGGGAAATTAGATTACTGCCTTGGGGAGAAAAAGGAGCAGGTGACAGGAGGGCAGGAGAAGCTCATAGAGAGAGATTCTGTTTGCTAAGGCCTATTTCTGAGGCCTAAAGCACCCCGACATTATAAAAAAAGATTTTAACAAGGGCTTTGGGAATTATGAGCCAGGAACATGAATGAAAAAATATATGTGTGTGTGTGTTATATTGTATAGATATCTTACATTGTTTCTCAAAGAATTTCACCAACCCAACCACCTGCTAAGACTCATTCGTCTCCAGAGCTGTCTTCATCACCCTCTGCCTCTGCCCAAAGGCTCCTGAGTCCAGCAGTTGACTTTCCCTCCCAACAGAGATTCCCTGAGAATTATAGCCCAGTGGTAGCCCAACATGTTCCAAATGTTTTTCTGGGCAGCATTGTCTTTGGATTTTGATAAATAAAATTTTTATTATTTTATTACATCTGCAGAAAGGAATATATAGGCATCTCCTTGAAACTTCGAAAGAGATTGGTTAAAAGCAGTCTATGTACAACGTACCAGAATCTCTGGAACACATTTAAAGAAGTGTGTACAGGGAAATTTATAGCACTAAATGCCCACAAAAGAAAGCAGTAAAGTTCTAAAATTGACACCCTAACATCACAATTAAAAGAACTAGAGAAGCAAGAGCAAACACATTCAAAAGCTAGCAGAAGGCAAGAAATAACTAAGATCAGAGCAGAACTGAAAGAGATAGAGACACAAAAAACCCTTCAAAAAATCAATGAATCCAGGAGCTGCTTTTTTGAAAAGATCAACAAAATGGATAGACCGCTAGCAAGACTAATAACGAAGAAAAGAGAGAAGGATCAAATAGACGCAATAAAAAATGATAAAGGGGACATCACCACCGATCCCACAGAAATACAAACTACCGTCAGAGAATACTACAAACACCTCTACACAAACAAACTAGAAAATCTAGAAGAAATGGATAAATTCCTGGACACATACACCCTCCCAAGACTAAACCAGGAAGAAGTTGAATCCCTGAATACACCAATAACAGGCTCTGAAATTGAGGCAATAATTAATAGCCTACTAACCAAAAAAAGTCCAGGACCAGATGGATTCACAGCCAAATTCTACCAGAGGTACAAAAAGGAGTTGGTACCATTCCTTCTGAAACTATTCCAATCAATAGAAAAAGAGGGAATCCTCCCTAACTCATTTTATGAGGCCAACATCATCCTGATACCAAAGCCTGGCAGAGACACAACATAAAAAAGAGAATTTTTGACCAATATCCCTGATGAACATCGATGCAGAAATCCTCAATAAAATACTGGCAAACCAAATCCAGCAGCACATCAAAAAGCTTATCCACCACAGTCAAGTTGGCTTCATCCCTGGGATGCAAGGCTGGTTCAACATACACAAATCAATAAACGCAATCCATCACATAAACAGAACCAATGACAAAAACCACATGATTATCTCAATAGATGCAGAAAAGGCCTTTGACAAAATTCAACAGCCTTCATGCTAAAAACTCTCAATAAACTAGGTATTGATAGAACATATCTCAAAATAATAAGAGCTATTTATGACAAACCCACAGCCAATATCATACAGAATGGGCAAAACTGGAAGCATTCCCTTTGAAAACCAGCACAAGAGAAGGATAGGATGCCCTCTCTCACCACTCCTATTCAACATAGTGTTGGAAGTTCTGGCTGGGACAATCAGGTAAGAGAAAGAAATAAATGGTATTCAATTAGGAAATGAGGAAGTCAAATTATCTGTTTACAGGTGACATGATTGTATATTTAGAAAACCTCATTGTCTCAGCTTAAAATCTCCTTAAGCTGATTAGCAAGTTCAGCAAACTCTCAGGATACAAAACCAATGTGCAAAAATCACAAGCATTCCTATACACCATTAACAGACAAACAGAAAGCCAAATCATGAGTGAACTCCCATTCATAATTGCTACACAGAGAATAAAATACCAAGGAACACAACTTACAAGGGATGTGAAAGACCTCTTCAAGGAGAACTACAAACCACTGCTCAACAAAATAAAAGAGGACACAAACAAATGGAAGAATATTACATGCTCATGGATAAGAAGAATTAATATCGTGAAAATGGCCATACTGCCCAAAGTAATTTATAGATTCAATGCCATCCCCACCAAGCTACCACTGACTTTCTTCACAGAATTGGAAAAAACTACTTTAAAGTTCATATGGAACCAAAAAAAGAGCCCGCATAGCCAAGACAATCCTAAGCAAAAAGAACAAAGCTGGAGGCATCATGCTATCTGACTTCAAACTATACTACAAGGCTACAGTAACCAAAACAGCATGGTACTGGTACCAAAACAGATATATAGACCAATGGAACAGAACAGAAGCCTCAGAAATAACACCACACATCTACAACCATCTGATCTTTGACAAACCTGAGAAAAACAAGCAATGGGGAAAGGATTCCCTATTTAATAAATGGTGATGGGAAAACTGGCTAGCCATATGTAGAAAGCTGAAACTGGATCCCTTCCTTACACCGTATACAAAAATTAACTCAAGAAGGATTCAGGACTTAAACATAAGACCTAACACCATAAAAACCCTAGAAGAAAACCTAGGCAATACCACTAAGAATATAAGCATGGGCAAAGACTTCATGACTAATACAACCAAAACCAATGGCAACAGAAACCAAAATAGACAAATGGGATCTAATTAAACTAAAGAGCTTCTGCACAGCAAAAGAAGCTATCATCAGAGTGAACAGGCAACCTACAAAATGGGAGAAAAATCTTTGCAATCTACCCGTCTGACAAATGGCTAATATCCAGAATCTATGAAGAACTTAAACAAATTTACAAGAAAAAATCAAACAACCCCATCAAAAAGTGGACAAAGGATATGAACAGACACTTCTCAAAAGAAGACGTTTATGCAGCCAAAAGACACATGAAAAAAAATGCGCATCATCACTGGTCATCAGAGAAATGCAAATCAAAACCACAATGAGATACTGTCTCACGCCAATTAGAATAGTGATCATTAAAAAGTCAGGAAACAACAGATGCTGGAGAGGATGTGGAGAAATAGGAATGCTTTTGCACTGTTGGTGGGAATGTAAATTAGTTCAACCATTGTGGAAGACAGTGTGGCAATTCCTCAAGGATCTAGAACTAGAAATATCATTTGACCCAGCGATCCCATTACTGGGTATATACCCAAAGGATTATAAATCATGCTACTTTAAAGACACATGCATGCATATGTTTATTGTGGCACCATTCACAATAACAAAGACTTGGAACCAACCCAAATGTCCATCAATGATAGACTGGATTAAGAAAATGTGGCACATATACACCATGGAATACTATGCAGCCATAAAAAAGGATGAGTTAATGTCCTTTGCAGGAACATGGATGAAGCTGGAAACCATCATTCTCAGCAAACTATCACAAGGACAGAAAACCAGACACCGCATGTTCTCACCCATAGGTGGGAGTTGAACAACGAGAACACATGGACACAGGGCAGGGAACATCACACACTGGGGCCTGTCAGGGGGTTGGGTGTGGGGGACGGATAGCATTATGAGAAATACCTACTGTAAATGACGAGTTGATGAGTGCAGCAAATCAACATGGCACATGGGTACCTATGTATCAAACCTGCAGGTTGTACACATGTACCCTAGAACTTAAAGTATAATAATAATAAAAAAAGAAAGCAACAACAACAACAACAACAAAAACCCCTCTTTAGGTGATCAAGTTCACAGAGAATAACAGCCAAAGCTTATCTGAAAGCTTTGATTGTGCCAGATATTTCACATGGATCATTTCATTTAATCCCCACAAGCTCTTGAGGCATAAGCTTTTTTTTTTTTTTTTTTTTTTTTAGACAGAGTCTCTCTCTGTCACCCAGGCTGGAGTGCAGTGGCGCCATCTTGGCTCACTGCAACCTCCATCTCCTAGGTTCAAGCGATTCTCCTGTCTCGGCCTCCTGAGTAGCTGGGATTACAGGCATGCACCACCACACCTGGCTAATTTTGTATTTTTAGTAGAGACGGGGTTTCACCATGTTGGCCAGGTTGGTCTCGAACCCCTGATCTCAGCTGATCTGCCTGCCTCAGCTTCTTAAAGTGCCGGGATTACAGGCATGAGCCACTAAGCCCGGCCATATGCATTTTTAAAAAGGATCTCCCCTCCGTGTACTTTAGAAACTTTACTTTAGGGATTCTAACCTTGGGCAAACAATAGGTCACATATTTGACACATTCTGCCCCTTGCAGAATAGCTTTCACTGAATTTGCATTGTAATGCCAAGACCTTTGCTTTCATCAGTGGCTATTCAACGTGTTATCATATGGGATGTAGGAATGTTCCTGGAAACTTTGTCTATTACTCATTTAATGAATTCTATATTAACACCACATTTATAAAGAAAATGTATTAGGAGGTACCTCTAAGGTAGCAAAACTCTCCTAATAACTTTGTCTTTTATGATAATAATATCTAAGTAATTGACTATTTTTCTCTTCACTTTAACTCCCAGGAAATACCAAATTTAAGGTTTGGTGTATTTGTAATCTGCTTACATCCTGATCTTTACTCTTTATTTTACATATTTTTGCCTGATTTTTATTGATATTTACCAGTATTTTATTTGATATGTCTTTGTTATAAGAGATATTTGTGTATATGTATCTTTGAACTTGCTGTATGCCACATAAGGCTCCAGATCATAGAATGAAGAGTAAAAACAGTATCTGGTCTCATGGAGCTTCAATCAAAAGTGATAAAAATGCCAGGAATCAGGAAAAGCTTAGTTTCTCTTTCAACAAGTACTCTAAGAAACAAACTTCTATAATCCTATTGCTTTGGGAGGCTGAAGTGAGAGGATCACTTGAGGCCAGGAGTTTGAGGCTGCAATGAATTATAATCACTACGGCACTACAGCTTGGGCAACAGAGTAAGGCCTTGGCTTTGGGGGGAAAAAAAGGAAAGAGGCAAACTACTTTGGCCTTAAGCATACAAAGAAGGTTTGAATTTCTTAATTTTTTTATTCATTCAACATTTATTAAGTTCCTGCTCTGTGCCAAGAAATTTGCTAGATATTGGTGATTCAGCAGTGAACAAGGCAAATATCACAGCTGTCGTGGAGTTCACATCGTATTCAGGAAAAGAGACATGGAACAAAGAAGAACAAATGTGATGTTACAGAGATGCCATAAGGACTATGGGGAAGAATGACAGGGACATTTAACAAGTCTGGGATACATGGAAGACCTGTCTCCAGAAGAGATATTTAAACAGGGAACTAAGAGATAAGTGGCAAAGGGAGGTAGGAGGTGGAGAAAGAGTGTTCTATGCAGACTGTTTGGGAAACACTCCACTTTCTCTTAAGAGGGCAATTGGGAATTATCCTCTCAGAACCAAATCCCCCATTTTACCATCTCATTCTTAATCTCTGCTTCTACCTTGTTTTGAATTTAAGTTTATTATTGTTACAGAATGTTCTTAATTTCAAAGTTACATAAAGTATTATAAAATGCTTTTTTTAGAAATAAACTTGCCTTTTCACGTGTATCAGGTGTCTGATTTCTATTTTAACTGATGTTTGCCCAATTCAAAGAAGCTTCTTTCATTCTTCATTGAAGAAAACCAAAATAAGTAGACCGTGGTTCATACTTTTAAAATGTCTACATATACTTTATGGATCAATGAATAGGAATGCGAATACATTCATCAAACAATTTGCCTGAAAACAAAGCAAAGCTAAATATGAAAAACTGAATAGTTAATTCTAACTATAATTATCCAACATACATATGCTTTTTAATTTTTTATACTAACAAAGAAACATGTGCAACTAATTACTTATTTGCCACAATCCAAAGTCCTCCCACCTACCATATTCATGGGCTGGATTCTTCCTGTTACCCAGCTGAGGCCCAAGCCTGCCAATATGGGGACCAAGCTGGACTTGATTTGCAGCCAACAACAGAAGGGGAGGAATTGTGAGATTTTTATGGGCTCTGTAGCTAACATCTGACTAAGTGTATGTGTCTTCTACGTTGGTACCTAAATGCTACCCACAGCACTCCTATCATTTTATTGCAAACTATGATTTTATAATAGAAAAAAACACTAGAATTGTGGTCATAAAACCTGGGTTTGGGCCAGGCATGGTGGCTCATGCCTATAATTCCAGTACTTTGAGAGGACAAAATAGGAGGATCACTTGATGCCAGGAGTTCAAAACCAGCCTGGACAATATACAGAGGCCCCATCTCTAGAAAAAATAAATTTAAAAAAATCAGCCAGGTTTGTGGCACATATGTGATATCTATAGTTCTAGATACTTGGGAGATGGAGGTGGGAGGGTCAGTTAGTTCCAGGAGTTTGAGGTTAAAAATGAGCTATGGCCTCACCACTGCATTCTAGACTAGGTGACAGAGCAAGATCCTGTCTCCCCGCTCCGCCAGAAAAGGACCTCAGTTTAAATCTCCGAAAATCTGTGTTTCAATCCTGGGGAACTTTACAGCTAAGAAAACTTGAAGAGCTGTAGGCAAGTGCCCAAGGGAGGAGTGTAATACACACTTTCACAGGTGTATTGCTTGACAGGACTGCCATAACAAAGTACCACATGCTAGGTGTCTTAAACGACAGAAATTTATTTCCTCACAGTTTTAGAGGCTAGAAGTCTAAGATCAAGGGGCTTAGCCTAGCAGGGTTAGTTTCTTCTGAGGCCTCTCTCCTTGGCTTAGAGATTATTGTCCCTCTATGAGTGTCTTTGTCTTAATTTCCTCTTTTTTTTTTTTTTTTTTTTTTTTTTTTTTTTTTTTTTTGAGACGGAGTCTCGCTCTGTCGCCCAGGCTGGAGTGCAGTGGCGGGATCTCGGCTCACTGCAAGCTCCGCCTCCCGGGTTCACGCCATTCTCCTGCCTCAGCCTCCCAAGTAGCTGGGACTACAGGCGCCCGCCACTACGCCCGGCTAATTTTTTGTATTTTTAGTAGAGACGGGGTTTCACCGTTTTAGCCGGGATGGTCTCGATCTCCTGACCTCGTGATCCGCCCGCCTCGGCCTCCCAAAGTGCTGGGATTACAGGCGTGAGCCACCGCGCCCGGCCAATTTCCTCTTTTTATATGGACACCAGTTGGATTGGATAAGACCCACCTCAATGATCTCATTTTAACTTAATTACCTCTTTAAAGACCCTATCTGCAAATACAGTTACATTCTGAAGTACTGGGTGATGAGCCTTCAACACATGAATTGTGGAGGGATACAATTTAGCCCATAACAAAAGGACTGATTGATAGTTTTGTAACAGCCCAATGGGTTCTTCTTGTCTGCTGCCCAGAAAAGCAGGTTTTGCAGCAAAGAAAGAGTTTAATAATTGCAGGGCCAGCCAAGCAAAAGACATTTATCAAATCCACTTCCCTGAAAGCTCAAAGCCTAGGATTTTTAAGAATAATTTGGTAGGCAGGGAGCTAGACAACGGGTCTACTGATTGGTTGGGGATGAAATTACAAGTGTTTAAAACAGTCTTTGGGACAGTTTCTGGGTGCGGGTAACAGGACTGGTTGAGTTCATTCCTTGGCATAAGTCACAGGTCGGGTGGAGTCACTTGGTTGCCAGAATGCAAAAGTCTGAAAAATATCTTAAAAACCAATCTTAGGTTTTGAAAATCATGTTGTTATCTATAGGAGCAATTGGGGAAGTTACAAATTTGTTGAGTAGTAAGTGATTATAGAAAAGCAAGCTAGGGAACAATGGATAGTTATCGTTTAAACCTACATCTTAGCAGAATTCAGGCCCCTCCCATAATCCTCACTTTGTGGCCTTTCATTAATCTTACACAGGTGGTTTTGGACTCCACGCAAGAAGGGGGTTAATTTCAGGAAGGGACTGTTATTATCTTTGTTTTAAAGTTAATAAAGGCAGTTATCCTGTGAGGTTAGAAGCAAGATAGAGTTAGGTCAGATTTCTCTTAATAATTGTTGCAAGAGCAGTTTCATTTAAGGATCAGTTTAAATGAGACAAGAAATGAAGACACTTGACTTTAGTTGATGTTTTTGTTTGTTTGTTTTGAGACACAGTCTTGCACTGTCACCAACACTGGAGTGCAATGGTGTGATCTCAGCTCAATGCAACCTCTACCTCCCAGGTTCAAGTGATTCTGCTGCCTCAGCCTCCCAAGTAGCTGGGATTACAGGCACCCACCACCACACCCAGTTAATTTTTTTTTTTTTTTTTGTATTTTTAGTAGAGACGGGGTTTCACTATGTTTGCCAGGCTGGTCTCGAACTCCTGACCTCATGATCAGGAGTTTAAACAACAGAAATGTATTATCTCACTGTTCTGTAGGTTGGAAGTCCAAGATTCAGGTGCCAACGAATTCAGTTTCTGGTGAAGGCTCTGTTCCTGGCTTGCAGACGGCTGCCTTCTCACTATGTCCTCACATTGCCTTTCCTGAGTGCATTTGGGTAGAGAGAGCAAGACAGCAAGCTATCTGGTGTCTCTTCTGATAAGGACACTAATCCTATTGAATTAGGGCCCCACCCTTATGACCTCATCTCACCTTCATTACTTCCTTATAGGCCCCATTTTAAAATACATTACTTTGGGGGTTAGGGCTTCAACATATGGATTTTGAGGGAGACACAATTCAGTTCATAGCACTAATGTTTTGGGATAAAGAACTAGCAGAGGAGTCGTGTTATAGGAACAAAGAGATTTATTGCATTTTCAATATTTCTTTAAGCTTACTTTATATTTCGATCTAAGAGGCAAAGTTTACTTCTTTCAAGACAGTCTTTGTAGAGTAAATGGTGTTTCAAAGGTCAGGTTTAGGGCAGGTGCAGTGGTTCAAACCTGTTATCCCAGCAGTTTGGGAGGCCCAGGCAGGAGGACTGCTTGAGCCTAGGAGTTCAAGACCGCCTGAGCAACATAGGGAGGCCCCATTTCTACAAATAATGTTTAAAAATTAGCTGGGTGTGGCAGTGTGCACCTGTGGTCTCAGCTACTCAGGAAGAAGCAGAAGGATTGCCTGAGCCTGGAAGATCAAGGCTGCAGTGAAAAAACAAACAAACAAACAAAACAAAGGTAGGTTTAACTACAAATTGATCTATGTTATATTTAGTTAAAAGGGAAAAAGGTATTTTTATATACAGCTCTAACAATTATTTTAAATCTTAAATGATTGTTACATTTCTTCTTAAATGACTGCTACTGCAATAGACTATTATCCCAGAAAACCATTTGTGAAATACATTATTGTTAGCAATGTGCTCATTTCCTTGTCAACAGAAATGTCATTCTTTTTTCTTTTAATTTTATTGTGCTTTTTTGGGGGGTTTTTTTTGTTTTTTGTTTGTTTTCTGACAGAGTCTCACTCTCGAATGCAGTGGTGCGTTCTCGGCTCACTGCAACCTCTGCCTCCCGGGTTCAACGGGTTCAAACGATGCTCCTGCCTCAGGCTCCCAAGTAGCTGGAACTACAGGCATGCACCACCACACTTGGCTAATTTTTGTATTTTGTGGTAGAGACAGGGTTTCACCATGTTGGCCAGGCTGGTCTCGAACTCCTGACCTCAAGTGATTAACCCACCTCAGCCTCTCAAAGTGCTGGGATTACAGGCATGAGCCACCACACCTGGCCAGAAGTGTCATTCTTTTAAACTGCTCCTAAAGTCACATGATTAGAAGTTTTGGCTCAGAATCAGAAATAAAAATGTAACTTTTTTCTAATAGTGGATGATGATGATAATGATAGTGGTGGCAATGATGATGAAAATAATAGCTCCTACAGATTTATTTTATTGACACATTTTTATCTCCTATATAAACTGTTCATTTTGGCAAATGTGCCATATTATTCAGAGTGACCTGTCCAGCACTTACCTGAAGGTTATGGTTATAATTTGTTGTATAGACAGTGTGCTCTCAAAATCAGCTGTATCTTTTTTGATTACTCACACGTTCCTGAATTTCTTATAGGCATGAGGTTAAGAGACAATTATAATGAATGGAGTTTTACTGGAAACTTTACTATTATGTTAAATTAATAATCCCACAATTCCTGGTCTATTACTCACATGAGGATAGCTATCAAATTATTTACAATATGATTGTGTATTTTGAAATATAATAACTGTACTGAACAAAGACAATCATGTTCCTAGAAAATGGATTGTTAGGCATTTTAAACTGATGCTCATTAGGGACAATTTACTTGCTGAATAGCAATCATTTTTTCTTTAAGAGAAACCACCTTGGGTTTTAATGTATACACCCTTAAAACCATTATCAAAGCATAATTTATATACCCTAAAATTTACTCATTTCGAGTATAAATTGTATGAGTTTTAGTAAATGTACAGAGTTCTGCAACTACCACCAGAATAAAGTTTTAGAACACTTTAATCACCCCCCAACATTCCCTTACGCCCCTTTCCAGTCATCCCCCACCCCCAGCTGCAAGGCAAGCACTTACCTCCTCTCTGTTACACTTTTGCCTTTCACAGAATTTCAAATTCATATTTTATATGTCTTTTGTGTCTGATTTCTTTTACTTACCGTGATGTTTTTGAGATTCATTCACATTTTTCTGAATATCAGTAGTTTCGGCTTTATTTGCTGACCTGTATTCTGCTGAACGTTACATGCCACATGTTGTTTATACATTCACCAGTTGATGGCTATTTAAGTTGTTTCTGTTGTTTGGTTATTATAAATAATGCTGCTAAGAACATTTGTGTACAATGCCTTGGGTGGACATATTATTTTCATTTCTCTGAAGTAAGCATCTAAGAGTGTGTAATTGCTGGGTCATGTGGTAGATATATGTTTTTGTGTTTAAGACACTGCCAAACTGTTTTCCAGTGGCTACATCACTTTGCATTTCTACCAGCTATGTATCAGAGTTCCAGTTATACCATCTAATCACTGACACTTGGCATTTCAAGTCCTTTTAAGGTAGTCTAGAAGATGTGTAGTAGTATCTCATTGTGGTTTTAATTTGCATTCCCCAATAACCAATGAGGTTGAGCATCTTTTTGTTAAGTGCCTATACAAATCTTTTGCCTGTTTTTAAAAATTGAGCTGTTTATATTATTACTGAGTTATGAAAGTTCTTAATTAGATCTGGATACAAGTGCTTTGTCAGATAAATATTTTGCCCATATTTTCTCCCAAGCTGGAGCTTGTCTTTTCATTTTCTTAGCGATTTTAAACAAGCAAAAGATTTTAATTTTTCTGAAGTTCATTTATTAATTATTTCATGAATGGCTTATGCTTTTTGCGACTTATCCTAAGGTCACAAAGGTTTTTCTCCTATGCATTGTTCTGGAATACACACGTTTTTACCCTTACATTTAGGACAATGATCCATTTTGAATTAATTTTGGTGTATAATGTGAAGAAAGATTCAAAGTTTATTTCCTTTCCATGTGGATATCCAGTTATTCCAACACTACTTCTGGAAAAGACCATTCTTTTCCCATTTAATTTATCTGGCCCCTTTACCAAAAATCAATTGACCACATAAGTGTGAATTTATTTCTGGATTCTCAGTTCTGTTCCATTCATCTATATGTCTATCTTTATGAAACCTTTCATTTTTAATCCTTTGGAAGAGGGTAATATTTAGAGAAAAATATATATGTTCAATGCTGTCCACTGAAGCTTATCATTTATCAAAATTTAAATATGATAATAGGCAAACAAGGACAATTACTGGTTCTTTAAAATGTATTTTTACCACACAGTTTAAAATAAAATGGTAATTAAATCATTTTGGATATTTTACTGAATCTAGAAAAAACTAGAAAAGAAAATCCTATTGTTTAAGGAAATAAGCCACTGCTAATAACTGCTGCATTGATTATATTCATCATGAAGAACAATTTGCAAATTTAAGAGGTATATAAACATTATTATGAGACAATGAAAGCATAGCAAGAACACACCTAGTTTCTTTAAACTGGTTCAGGTCTTTTCAGCCACCAGTGAATTACATTCTTGCGTATAAAACATAATACTATGATGTAACCATAAGCATGGTTTGACTGTCCCCTCCAAAACTCATGTGGAATCCCCAACTGACAGTATTGAGAAGTGGGTCCTGTAACAGGTGATTGGATCATGAGGGCTCTACACTAATGAATAGATTATTCCATTCATGGATTAATGGATTAAAGTGTTATCATGGGAGAGAAACTGGTGCCTTCATATGAACAAGAAGAGAGACCTGAGCTAGCACTCTCAGCCTCTCGCCATGTGATTCCCTGCACCATCTCACGACTCTGCTGAGTCCCCACCAGTAAGAAGGCTCTCACCAGATACATCCCCTTAGCCTCCATAACCATAATAAATATATTCCTTTTCTTTATAAATTACCCAGTTTCATGTATTCTGTTATAAGCAACAGAAAACGAACTAATACACCATAGAACTATCATCAGTAATTTTGAGAAGTGGAGAACACAAGAGTTGCCAGAAGACTGAAGATGCACAGATGTTTCCATTTTCAAAACATAAAAAATGAATTCCAGAAACTAAATGCTAATAAGCATGATATTGAAAGCTGGCAAAATTATAGAACAGATGAAGCATATAGTTTATCAACATCTTTTCAAGTCATCAGTAGAAGATAAAATTGTTTCTTCATCAAACTAAATTACTTAAATTATATACCTGAAAATGGCTAACAAAATGCTGAATTATTGTAAGTATCCAGTAAATATATTTTTAAAAAACAAACCAACCTCAAACCTGTCTCTGGCAAATTCTGTAACAAAGAAAGAAAATGAAGTCAAAAACAGAGAAAACTACACAAAATTATGTTTTAAATATTATGCATAATTCTACAGTTAAAAATAGAAAATTTTGGCCTGGGTGTGGTGGCTTATGCCTGTAATCCCTGCACTTTGGGAGGCTGAGGCAGGCAGATCACTTGAGCCCAGGAGTTCCAGACCACCCTGGCCAACATGTTAAATCCAGTCTCTACTAAAAATACAAAACAAAATCAGAAACAAAAACATTAGCCAAGTGTGGTGGTGCGTGCCTGTAGTCCCAGCTACTAGGGAGGTAGGAGAATTGCTTGCATCTGGGAGATCGCACCACTGCACTCCAGCGTGGGTGGCAGAGTGAGACCCTGTCTCAGAAAAAAAGAAAACAAGAAAAAGAAAAGAAAATCTTGGCTGAGCGCAGTGGCTCACACCTGAAATCCCGGCACTTTGGGAGGGCAAGGTGGGCAGATCACTTGATGTCAGAAGTTTGAAACCAGCCTGACCCACATAGTGAAACCCCCATATCTACTAAAAATACAAAAATTAGCTGGCCATGGTGGCGGGCACCTGTAATCCCAGTTACTTGGGAGGCTGAGGCAGGAGAATCACTTGAACCCGGGAGGCAGAGGTTACAGTGAGCCGAGATCATGTCACTGCACTCCAGCCTGCGCAGAGCAAGACTCCGTCTCAAAATATATTTTAAAAAAGAAGAAAAAAAGAAAAGAAAATCTAGATGAAATGGACTCATCTCAAGTTGTCAAAATTGATAGCTCCTTCTCTGTATGTGGCAGCACTGGTGACACAAAGTATAAACTAGAAAATACCCAAGTGGAAGTTAAATATATGAATTTAGAGTCCAGGGAAGAAGTCAGGGCTGGAATTTGGGAATAGTCAATGCATTTGTGGTATTTAAATCCATCACATCAGAAAAGACCACCACGGAAGAGAATATGGACAGAGGAGATAAGCCAAGGACTGAGTCCTGGAACAACCAGGAATTTATTCATTAAAAGAGAATGAGGAAGCAGCACTTTGGGAGGCCGAGGCAGGCAGATCACCTGAGGTCAGGAGTTTGAGACCAACCTGGCCAACATGGCGAAACCCCATCTCTACTAAAAATAAAACATTAGCTGGGCGTGGTGCCAGCGCCTGTAGTCCCAGCTGCTCGGGAGGCTGAGGCAAGAGAATAGCTTGAACCCTCGAGGTAGAGATTGCAGTAAGCTGAGATCGCGCCACTATACTCCAGCCTGGGCGACAGAGCAGTACTCTGTCTGAAAAAAAAAAAAGAGAGAGAGAATGAGGAAGTACAGCCAGTGAGGTGAGGGGAAAGAGACATGGGATAAAGTAGATCCTGAAAGCTAAATGAAGCAAATGTTTGAAAAGGAGGAAATGATTGACTGCAGCAAATGCTGCTGAGTAGTCAGGTAAGATGAGGACTGAGAACTGAAGCAAAGTGGGGATTGGACAAGAGCATATTTTGTCCCTAATTGACAAAAGCCTAATTGGAGTTAGTTCAAGATAGAATGAGAAAGGATAAAAGAGAGACAAACAGTACTTTGAAGAGTTCTTGTATAGAGAGGAGTAGGAAAATATTGCTGAAGCTGAAAGGGAATGTAAGTTCAAGGAAATTTTGGTTGTTGTTGTTAGGATGACAAATTTTATAACACGTTGTATGCTGGGAAAAATAATTCCATAGAAAGAGAAAAATTGATGATGTAGAAGAGAGGAAACAATTTCAGGAGAAATATTCTTGAATGGTTTAGAGGCATCACAAGTGGAATATCTGGTGTGAGATGCAGCCTACACAACTCGCCCATGCAAGGCAGTGTATGTAGGACCCCATACTGTTAGACCAATAGATTTAGGAGGTGTTGCAGGTTAGTTTTCCCAGAAGGCAGACACTAAGACAGAGTGAGGAGCCTAAAATGTTTACTGGGGAGTGACTCCTGTAAATGGAAAAGGCATGAGTCAGCTGGAGCCATCAGACAACAATGTAGACTTCTATGATGCTGTCCTAACAGTCTCTGCCGGTCCAGCTCCAAAGTCAAGATTGCCTGTTAGAGGAGTCCCACCTTGGATCCTTGGATGGAAATGAACAGACCCTTGCACATTGCCTTGCTCAGTTGTTGGCTGAAGGCCACAAAAGAAGCCTATGGCGTCAGTTTGAAAGCAGAAGGGAACCCTGAAGGGATTAATTGCTGGAAGCTAGCAGCTAAGCACAATCCTTGCAAATAGACAACTAGCCTTTTATTGAAGGGAGAGCTGAGTGGGCACATCTTCATGTCTGACACAGAATAGGAAGATGTAGAAATTCTCTTTTGTTTACTTTCATCTTCACAGTTGCATTAGGCCATTCTTGCATTGCTATAAAGAAATACCCGAGGTTGGGTAATTTATAAAGAAAAGAGGTTTAGTTGGTTCCTGGTTCTGCAGGCTGTACAGGAAGCATAGCAACGTCTGCTTCTAAAGAGACTTCAGGAAGCTTACAATCAAGACAAAAGGTGAACAGGGAGCAGGCATGTCATATGGTGAAAGCAGGAGCAAGGGGTGCGGTGGTGTGCCAAATACTTTTAAACAATCAGATCTCATGCACTAATGCATGGACAGCACCAAGTGGATGGTGCTAAACCATTCATGAGAAAACCATCTCCATACTCCAATCACCTCCCATCAGGCCCTGCCTCCAATTTTGGGGATTACATTTCAGCATGACATTTGGACAGGGATACATATCCAAACTATATCAACAGTGAAGTAATAAGCAAAGTCATCAGCTTGAATGAGTTGAGGGGAGAAAGAGTGTTGGAGGTTTCTAGCAAGAGGAGAAAACATGAAGCAGCTGACTTGAAGACTGCAAGAGTGAATACAGAGAGATTATTAGGCAGCCCTGATAATTTATTTAGTAGTGTTTAAATTTAAAGCAATATCAACAGAAGAAAGATCAGCAAAAGAAGAAAGAATTATAGAAAGAACTGAAGAAGACTTTTGGTTTTTAAAATATTGCTAGCAATTAGTCAACAAAAACAGACTACATGTAAGGAAGCAAGAACCATGCTGGTCTCGTATTTTATTCAAGAAGCAACAAAACGTACTCTTAAAATATAAAACATAAAACATATAAAAGTTGTGCATCAGAAGATTCTTAGCCCTAAGAAATAGAAAACCCAATATAAATAGTATAGACAATAAGGCAGATTTATTATTTCACATAAGAATTTCTAATTTGGCTCTGAGATTGGTTAATTTAGTGGCTCAAAGACCTAGGTTTCTTCCATTTTTCTGCTTTGCCAGGCTCAGGAGATCAGCTTATTCTGAGTTACTCATCCCCTTGTTCATGAGTCGGTCCTACAGTTCCAGGCATTACAAGCAGACATGACAATATCGAGCAGAATAAGAAAGAAGATCTCACTGGCTAGAGTTGTGTCACATGCCCATTCCAAAGCCAATCACTATTAACGGGAAAGCAATTGATTTAAAGCACGTCGGGGTAGAGAAGGGTGGACTGGCCAAACAAAATCAGAATTTTCTTAATAAGAAAAAAGGAGAAATGGCTGCTGGGTAGGCAATCAACAGTACTTCTATGAGAGGAAGAACATATTGTAACTTGTAAATTTAAAAATCCAGCAAAACTATCATTTTTTTATTGAGGGTACAATCCTCAGAAATAAACATACTTAGAAAATATACCACCCATATATCTTTCTTGAAAATATTATAGATAACTGAGAGAAGAATAAGACAACTCATAAAGAAGTCATGTTATGAAACAACTGATAGTGATCAACGAATTCAATAACACAAGTTAAATCTGATTGTTTTAATTGTTTTTAAGAAGAATACCTGCAAATTACATTAAAAACTAAATACTTAAATGACATTTAAGCTAGGATCTGAAAATTAAAAATTATTTAGACAGGTAAAGAGTTGAGAGAAGAGCATGCCAGACAGAAGGAATGATGTGAGCATTTCCTTAAGGCTGGAGCGGAAATAAGCATAACATAGATTAGGAAGGTGTCAGATCACACCGAGCCTTGTGTGCCATGTTAGGGATTTGGAATTTTATTTTAAGCAGACTGAACATTGCTAGTGTTTTAAGTATAGTAGTCACATATCTCATTCTATTTTAAGAAGATCATACTGGTTTCTTTCTCTTTTTTTTTAATCATGCCACATTATTTTTAATTACATACAAAGATCTAACATGTCGCCCAGGGACCATTTCACCCACTGCTCTGTTTGGCCGCCAGTCTTTTGTCTCTCTCTTCAACAATGGTGAGGTGGGTACCCTTTCCTCAGGAAAAAGAAATTCACAGTTTGTTGCCCTTGCCAATAACAAAAATGTTGGAAAGACGAGTGGCAAACCTGTTGCTGTTGGCATCTTTCATGTGAACCACGTCAAAAGATCCACGGTGCCTCTCTCTGTGGTGATCACACCAATTCTTCCCAGGTTAGCACTTCCAGTCACCATACACAGGTTACCAGTGTCAAACTTGGTGAAATCAGTAATCTTGCCAGTCTCCAAATCAATCTGAATGATATCATTCACCTTGATAAGGGGATCAGGATAGTGGATGGTGCGAGCATCATGAGTCACAAGACGAGAGATTCCTTTTGTGCCCACAAAGATTTTTCTCACTTTGCACAACTTGTACTTGGCCTCCTCAGGTGTAATATGATGTACAGCAAAGCGACCCTTGGTGTCACAGATCAGATGGAAATTCTCTCCCGTCTTGTCAATGCTGATGACATCCATGAACCCAGCAGGGTAGGTTATATCAGTTTGGACCTTGCCATCGATCTTAATGAACTGCTGAATGCAAATCTTCTTTACTTCATCTCCTGTCAGGGCATACTTAAGTCTGTTCCTTAGGAAGATGATGAGGGAGAGACACACTCTCAACTTGTGGGACCGGTGGATGGACGAGGATCAAACACACTGGTCAACTTATCCAGCATCCAATGCTTTGGAGCTGCTACCCACTTCAGATGCTTCTTGGGATCACAAGTCATGGCTGCATTAAGCAAGGAAAGAGGACCCCCATCTTCCAGTGTGTGTAGAAATTTGGTTTCTCTTTAAAAAGACTGATGAGAGCAAGGCAAGGGTGGAAGTTAGGAAGCTACTGAAGGTGAGAAATTATGTTGTTCATACTGAGCAGGAGTGTGAAAACGAAAAGATATTGATAAATTGGAAATACATGTAGAGATATGCAATAAGACAAGCTGAAGGATTGCAGATGTATGAGGATGAGTTGAGGGAAATGGTAGAATCAAAAGAAGCCAAGCTTTTGGCTGTGTGGGTGGTAGTGCCACTTACTAAAAAGGTAAGGACCAAAAGATTAACAGGTTGCAGCTGGGGAAAGGATATGGGAGAAGGGCACCAAGAACTCTAATTTGAGTTAATGTAAGTTAAGATGAGGTCATTAGGTTGGACCCTAATCCAATATGACTCATGTCCCTATAAAAGGGAAATCTGGACACAGACAGACAGACAGACAGACACACACACACACACACACACACACACACACACACACACACACAGAGGGAGAGAGAGAGAGCCATGTGAAGATACAGGTAGAGATCAGAATTGTGCTACCACAAACTAAGGAAGGCCTGGGGTTACCAGAACCTGCAGGCGTTAAGGAATGATCTTCTGCTAGAAAATTCAGAGAGAGCATAGCCCAGCCAACATCTTGATCTCAGACCTATAGCATCCAGAATACTGAGGCAATCCATTTATTTTGTTTTAAGCTACCAAGTTTATGGTACTTTGTTATAGAAGCCCTAGGAAACTAACACATCAGGTTAAATTACACATGGTCAAATTATAAAATTATGATAAATGTATTATATGGCCAAATGATGAAATCCATCTCCTTCCATATATCCTGAATTCTCTTGCCTTTATCTTGGATAAATAATAAAACTTCATTCCAAGATGGCCAAATAGGAACAGCTCCAGTCTACAGCTCCCAGCGCGAGCGATGCAGAAGACGGGTGATTTCTGCATTTCCAGCTGAGGTACCAGGTTCATCTCACTGGGGGTTGTTGGACAGTGGGTGAAGCCCACGGAGTGTGAGCTGAAGCAGGGCGGGGCATCGTCTCACCCGGGAAGCACAAGGGGTCGGGGAATTCCCTTTCCTAGCCAAGGGAAGCCATGACAGACAGTACCTGGAAAATCGGGACACTCCCACCCTAACACTGTGCTTTTCCAACGGTCTTAGCAAATGGCACACCAGGAGATTATATCCCGCATGCCTGGCTCGGAGGGTCCCATGCCCATGGAGCCTCGCTCACTGCTAGCACAGCAGTCTGAGATCGAACTGCAAGGTGGCAGCGAGGCTGGGGGAGGGGCATCCACCATTGCTGGGTGGAGCCCACCGCAGCTCAAGGAGGCCTGCCTGCCTCTGTAGACTCCACCTCTGGAGGCAGGGCATAGCTGAACAAAAGGCAGCAGAAACTTCTAAAGACTTAAATGTCCCTGTCTGACAGCTTTGAAGAGAGTAGTGGTTCTCCCAGAATGGAGTTTGAGATCTGAGAACGGACAGACTGCCTCCTCAAGTGGGTCCCTGACCCCTGAGTAGCCTAACTGCGAGACACCTCCCAGTAGGGGCCGACTGACACCTCACACAGCCAGGTGCCCCTCTGAGATGAAGCTTCCAGAGAAAGGATCAGGCAGGAACATTTGCCGTTCTGCAATATTTGCGGTTCTGCAGCCTCTGCTGGTGATACCCAGGAAACAGGGTCTGGAGTGGACCTCCAGCAAACTCCAACAGACCTGCAGCTGAGGGGCCTGACTGTTAGAAGGAAAACTAACAAACAGAAAGGACATCCACACCAAAACCCCATCTGCACGTCACCATCATCAAAGACCAAAGGTAGATAAAACCACAATGATGGGGAGAAAACAGAGCAGAAAAGCTGAAAATTCTAAAAATCAGAGCAACTCTTCTCCTCCAAAGGAACGCAGCTCCTCACCAGCAACGGAACAAAGCTGGACGGAGAATGACTTTGACGAGTTGAGAGAAGAAGGCTTCAGACAATCAGTAATAACAAACTTCTCTGAGCTAAAGGAGGATGTTCGAACCCATCGCAAAGAAGCTAAAAACCTTGAAAAAAGATTAGACAAATGGCTAACTAGAATAAACAGCATAGAGAAGATGTTAAATGACCTGATGGAGCTGAAAACCATGGCACGAGAACTACATGATGCATGCACAAGCTTCAGTAGCCAATTCGATCAAGTGGAAGAAAGGGTATCAGTGATTGAAGATCAAATGAATGAAATGAAGCGAGAAGAGAAGTTTAGAGAAAAAAGATTAAAAAGAAACGAACAAAGCCTCCAAGAAATATGGGACTATGTGAAAAGACCAAATCTACATCTGATTGGTGTACCTGAAAGTGACGGGGAGAATGGAACCAAGTTGGAAAACACTCTGCAGGATATCATCCAGGAGAACTTCCCCAACCTAGCAAGGCAGGCCAACATTCAAATTCAGGAAATACTGAGAATGCCACAAAGATACTCCTCGAGAAGAGCAACTCCAAGACACATAATTGTCAGATTCACCAAAGTTGAAATGAAGTAAAAAATGTTAATGGCAACCAGAGAGAAAGGTCGGGTTACCCACAAAGGGAAGCCAATCAGACTAACAGCGGATCTCTCGGCAGAAACTCTACAAGCCAGAAGAGAGTGGGGGCCAATATTCAACATTCTTAAAGAAAAGAATTTTCAACCCAGAATTTCATATCCAGCCAAACTAAGCTTCATAAGTGAAAGAGAAATAAAATCCTTTACAGACAAACAAATGCTGAGAGATTTTGCCACCACCAGACTTCCCTTACAAGAGCTCCTGAAGGAAGCACTAAACATGGAAGGGAACAACCGGTACCAGCCACTGCAAAAACATGCCAAATTGTAAAGACCACCAATGCTGAAACTGCAGCAACTAACGAGCAAAATAACCAGCTAACATCATAATGACAGGATCAAATTCACACATAACAATATTAACTTTAAATGTGAATGGGCTAAATGCTCCAATTAAAAGACACAGACTGGCAAACTGGATAAAGAGTCAAGAGCTATCAGTGTGCTGTATTCAGGAGACCCATCTCACATGCAGAGACACACATAGGCTCAAAATAAAGGGATGGAGGAAGATCTACCAAGCAAATGGAAAACAAAAAAAACCAGGGGTTGCAGTCCTAGTCTCTGATAAAACAGACTTTAAACCAACAAAGATCAAAAGAGACAAAGAAGGCCATTACATAATGGTAAAGGGATCAATTCAACAAGAAGAGCTAACTATCCTAAATATATATGCACCCAATACAGGAGCATCCAGATTCATAAAGAAAGTCCTTAGAGACCTACGAAGAGACTTAGACTCCCACAATAATGATGGGAGACTTTAACACCCCACTGTCAACATTAGACAGATCAACAAGACAGAAAGTTAACAAGGATATCCAGGAATTGAACTCAGCTCTGCACCAAGCAGACCTAATAGACATCTACAGAACTCTCCACTCCAAATCAACAGAATATACATCCTTCTCAGCACCACATTGCGCTTATTCCAAAATTGGCCACAAAGTTGGAAGTAAAGCACTCCTCAGCAAATGTAAAAGAACAGAAATTATAACAAATTGTCTCTCAGACCACAGTTCAATCAAACTAGAACTCAGGATTAAGAAACTCACTCAAAACCGCTCAACTACATGGAAACTGAACAACCTGCTCCTGAATGACTATTGGGTACATAACAAAATGAAGGCAGGAATAAAGATGTTCTTTGAATCCAATGAGAACAAAGACACAACATACCAGAATCTCTGGGACACATTTAAAGCAGTGTGTAGAGGGAAATTTATAGCACTAAATGCCCACAAGAGAAAGCAGGAAAGATCTAAAATTGACACGCTAACATCACAATTAAAAAAACTAGAGAAGCAAGAGCAAACACATTCAAAAGCTAGCAGAAGGCAAGAAATAACTAAGATCAGAGTAGAAGTGAAGGAGATGGAGACACAAAAAACCCTTCAAAAAATCAATGAATCCAGGAGCTGGTTTTTGAAAAGATCAATAAAATTGATAGACCGCTAGCAAGACTAATAAGAAAAGAGAAGAATCAAATAGATGCAATAAAAAATGATAAAGGGGATATCACCACTGATTCCACAGAAATACAAACTACCATCAGAGAATACTATAAACACCCTATGCAAATCAACTAGAAAATCTAGAAGAAATGGATAAATTCCTGGACACATACACCCTCCCAAGACTAAACCAGGAAGAAGTTGAATCCCTGAATAGACCAATAACAGGCTCTGAAATTGAAGCAATAATTAATAGCTTACCAACCAAAAAAAGTCCAGGACCAGACGGATTCACAGCTGAATTCTACCAGAGGTACAAAGAGGAGCTGGTACCATTCCTTCTGAAACTATTCCAATCAATAGAAAAAGAGGGAATCCTCCCTAACTCATTTTATGAGGCCAGCATCACCCTGATACCAAAGCTAGGCAGAGACACAACAAAAAAAGAGAATTTTAAACCAATATCCCTGATGAACATCGATGCAGAAATCCTCAATAAAATACTGGCAAACCAAATCCAGCAGCACATCAAAAAGCTTATCCACCATGTTCAAGTTGGCTTCATCCCTGGGATGCAAGGCTGGTTCAACATACGCAAATCAATAAACGTAATCCATCATATAAACAGAACCAAAGACAAAAACCACATGATTATCTCAATAGATGCAGAAAAGGCCTCAACAAAATTAAACAGCCCTTCATGCTAAAAACTCTCAATAAACTAGGTATTGATGGGATGTATGTCAAAATAATAAGACCTATTTATGACAAACTTATAGCCAATATCATACTGAATGGGCAAAAACTGGAAGCATTCACTTTGAAAACTGCCACAAGACAGGGATGCCCTCTCTCACCACTCCTATTCAACAAAGTGTTGGAAGTTCTGGCCAGGGCAATCAGGCAGGAGAAAGAAATAAAGGGTATTCAATTAGGAAATGGGAAGTCAAATTGTCCCTGTTTGCAGATGACATGATTGTATATTTAGAAAACCCCATTGTCGCAGCCCAAAATATCCTTAAGCTGATAAGCAGCTTCAGCAAAGTCTCAGGATACGAAATCAATGTGCAAAAATCACAAGCATTCTTATACACCATTAACGACAAACAGAGAGCCAAATCATGAGTGAACTCCCATTCACAATTGCTTCAAAGAGAATAAAATACCTAGGAATCCAACTTACAAGGGATGTGAAGGACCTCTTCAAGGAGAACTACAAACCACTGCTCAATGTAATAAAAGAAGACACAAACAAATAGAAGAACATTCCATGCTCATGCATAGGAAGAATCAATATTGTGAAAATGGCCATACTGCCCAAGGTAATTTATAAATTCAATGCCATCCCCATCAAGCTACCAATGACTTTATTCATAGAATTGGAAAAAACTACTTTAAAGTTCATATGGAACCAAAAAAGAGCCCACATTGCCAAGACAATCCTAAGCCAAAAGAACAAAGCTGGAGGCATCATGCTACCCGACTTCAAGCTATACTACAAGGCTACAGTAACCAAAACAGCATGGTACTGGTACCAAAACAGAGATATAGACCAATGGAACAGAACAGAGCCCTCAGAAATAACACCACACATCTACAACCATCTGATCTTTGACAAACGTGACAAAAACAAGAAATGGGGAAAGGATTCCCTATTTAACAAATGGTGCTGGGAAAACTGGCTAGCCATAAGTAGAAAGCTGAAACTGGATCCCTTCCTTACACTGTATACAGAAATTAATTCAAGATGGATTAAAGACTTACATGTTAGACCTAAAACCACAAAAACCCTAGAAGAAAACCTAGGCAATACCATCCAGGACATAGGCATGGGCAAGGACTTCATGACTAAAACACCAAAAGCAATGGCAACAAAAGCCAAAATAGACAAATGGGATCTAATTGAACTAAAGAGCTTCTGTGCAGCAAAAGAAACTACCATCAGAGTGAACAGGCAACCTACAGAATGGGAGAAAAATTTTACAACCTACCCATCTGACAAAGGATTAATATCCAGAATCTACAAAGAACTTAAACAAATTTACAAGAAAAATCAAACAACCCCATCAAAAAGTGGGCAAAGGATATGAACAGACACTTCTCAAAAGAAGACATTTTATGCAGCCAACAGACACATGAAGAAAATGCTCATTATCACTGGCCATCAGAGAAATGCAAATCAAAACCACAATGAGATACCATCTCAACCCAGTTAGAATGGCGATCATTAAAGAGTCAGAAAACAACAGGTGCTGGAGAGGATGTGGAGAAACAGGAACACTTTTACACTGTTGGTGGGACTGTGACTAGTTCAACCATTGCGGAAAACAGTGTGGCAATTCCTCAAGGATCTAGAACTAGAAATACCATTTGACCAGCCACCCCATTACTGGGTATATACCCAAAGGATTATAAATCATGTGGCTATAAGGACACATGCACATGTATGTTTACTGCGGCACTATTTACAATAGCAAATGTCCATCAATGATAGACTGGATTAAGAAAATGTGGCACATATACACCATGGAATACTATGCAGCCATAAAAAAGGATTAGTTCATGTCCTTTGTAGGGATGTGGATGAAGCTGGAAACCATCATTCTGAACAAACTATCGCAAGGACAGACAACCAAACACTGCGTGTTCTCACTCATAGGTGGGAACTGAACAATAAGAACACTTGGACACAGGGAACATCACACACCAGGGCCTGTCGTGGGGTGAGGGGAGGGGGGAGGGATAGCATTAGGAGATATACCTAATGTAAATGACGAGTTAATGGGTGCAGCACACCAACATGGCACATGAATATCTATGTAACAAACCTGCACGTTGTGCACATGTACCCTAGAACTTAAAGTATAATTAAAAACAAACAAACAAACAAAAAAACTCATTAAATCCAGTTTTCAGACCTCTCCATGACTATACCTGCACAGTGAAACCTGTACAGAGCAAAACACAAAACTATGTTGATTGGTGTCACTTACAACACATGATTTTTTTTTTTTTTTTTTTTTGAGACAGAGTCTTGCCCTGTCACCCTGGCTGGAGTGCAATGGCGCAATCTCAGATCACTGCAACCTCTGTCTCCTGGGTTTAAGCAATTCTCTTTCCTCAGCCTCCTGAGTAGCTGGGATTACAGGCACATGCCACCACGCTCAGCTAATTTTTTTGTATTTTTAGTAAAGACAGGTTTCACCATGTTGCCCAGGCTGGTCTCAAACTCCTGGGCTCAAGTGATTCACCACCTTGGCTGCCCAAAGTGCTGGGATTATAGGCATGAGCCACCACGCCTGGCCAAAACTATTTCATATCTTCTCTCTCTGAAAACCTCCAATACCTCTTTCCTAATCTTCAATCCTAGCTAATGACCTCACTACCTATTTCAACGAGAAAACACAAAACCTCATAAAAATATTTACAAAGGTTCCCATGACCACATAAGCCTACCTATCTGCATTTGTCCCCATATTCTCTGCCAACCAGCCTTTCCACTTTTGGACTATATACAATCCCCTCTTGCCTACTCAAGGACATTGCTCCAAAAATGTATCTTTTCCCCTCCATCATAAAAGTATACCTCTCTACTAGATCATTCTCATTCGCTACTATTTCTTACTCATTAAAAAAATAAAATAAAATAACAAACCAACATTCTTTTGATCCCACTTTCAGTCACAACCCTATCTCTTTCCTTTCTTTCCCAAAATGACATTTACTCATTTGACATGACAGTTCCAGTTTATGCTTCATTATTAATTAATTAAATCATCATTCAATTATTAATGGTGGCCTTTTCAAATGTGTTTTAGTTTGGATTGTAAATATATGGATAGCTTATCTTTTAATATAGAACTCATTCTCTCCCATTTCTCACCTTGTTTTCTCTCTTGAGCCCCACTGCAAACAGGTCTTCCCCCAATATTCCATTGAAACTGCTGTTTTCAAGGTCATCAACCATGTCCACGTTGTTAAATCTAATTGTCAATTCTCATTCCTCACCTTTTTGACCTTTCAATATCATTTGACATAGCCAATCATTCCTTCCATCTTTAAATAACTTTTTTGCTTGGTTTTAAAGGCACCATACTCTCCTGATTCTCCTTTTGTTACTCAGGAGAAACCGTATCTTTGCTCTAGCTGGTAGGAGGAAAGAAATAATAAGTAAAAATGGGTCCCTCCCTTTAAGGAAACTTCCCAGAAGCAGTACATACCTCTTCTGCTTGGTCATATGGCCACCCTTAGCTGCAAAAGAGTCTTGGAATTGCATTTTATACATATATTTTTAAAAATACAAATTTATTTATACACACATATATATGTTATACATAAATTGTATTTATATATACATATATGTAATATATATATATATATATACACACACACGTACCTATACATGTGATATATATATATGTATATATACACACATACATATTTTTCCCCTGGGCAATCAGATAATCATGGGAGATTCTATTATGGGAGAAGGGGAGAAAGAATATTTGAAAACAACTAGCACAGTAATTTTCAAGTTTTCTACAAGATTTGAAAAATAATATTAGACAACAATTTTACTGGACAAGTGCGGTGGCTCATGCCTGTAATACCAGCACTTTGGGAGGCCAAGGCGGGCAGATCACGTGAGGTCAGGAGTTCAAGACCAGCCTGGCTAACATGGTGAACCCTCATCTCTACTAAAGATACAGAAATCATCCTGGCGTGGTGGCGCGCACCTGTAATCCCAGCTACTCAGGAGGCTGAGGCAAGAGAATTGCTTGAACTGGGGAGGCAGAGGTTGCAGTGAGCTGAGATTACACCACTGCACTCCAGTCTGGATGACACAGAAAGACTCTGTCTCAAAAAAAAAAGAAAGAAAAGAAAAGAAAACAATTTTACTTTAAAAATATAATTGAATAATAGTAAAAGGAGATGAGAAAGTTAAAGAATAACAAAAATGCTTAAGTCTAAAATTATTATACAGGTTTCTCTTGGGCTCTTTTCTTCAGTGAAATTTAGAAGTATTAAATGTGTATGAAGTGTATTGGGTCATATTTTTAGTAAATGTGATATAGTTAGTAGCTATAACACTGTATATATAAAGAGCTTATAAACCGAAAAGTATCCGAGACAGGTTTCAATCAATTTAGAAGTTTATTTTGCCAAGGTTAAGGACATGCACCCAGGAGACAGGTCTGTGTATCTCTCAAAAGATGATTTTCAGGGCTTCAATATTTAAAGGGGAAAAGCAGGCTGGAGGGGAAGGAGGGAGGGTATGGTTACACTACTGAATCCACATGTAGCAAGAGAAAAGGGGCAGGTAGGGAAATAGTCAATTATGTATTCATCTCAGGCTCGGTAAATCAGGATTTTACATAAGATAAGGTGAACATAGAGTAGCCACCTGTGGAGATAATTTAACTTTTTATCTGTAGCTGTCTGCTTAGGAACAGAAGGAAAGGCAGCTTCTTGCACTACTCAGTTTTCAGCTTATTTTTTCCTTTTGGTATAGTGAATCAAGGTCCTGAGTTTTTATTTTCCTTTCACAACCTCATAAAATTGAGAGGCATCACGCCAAGGTCCCAATACATAAATTGGCAAAGAGCAAAAACAAATAATATATAAACTATAGCACACTTAATTAAATATCATCTTTATCCTTCCTGGTAATCATAAGAAGTAAATTAAGAGAGCAAGATATAGAGTTATCTATCAATTTTACCATAAAAAAGTATTTATTTGCTTTGCTATTAATTCTGATATTCACCACTGGTAAGTGTGCTTCTGAGAATATACATTTTGTCAACACTTAGAAAAGCAATTTTTACCTTAGGAAATTAATGTCCTTGGTATCTACTTTTGGGAATGCAGTTAATCTAGTTTTGGGAATCTATCCTACAAAAATAATCCAACATGTAGACAATCTTTTGGCACAAAGATGTTCATTACAGAGTTATTTCCAATAGAGAAACATTGGGAAAACCCCAAATGATGAATAATAGAGCAACTGATAATAAATGTTAGTCTATCTATTCAATGAAATATCATGCTATAATTAAAATTATATTTATAAGGAACTCATAATCACAAGGGGAAATGTTCATGATATATTATTAAGGAGAAAAATTATTTCATGATTACATAAATATAAATGCCAAGCAATTGTATAATTAGCAAATAAAAGAATGACGAGTAACATTAACCAAAAAAATACTGATAAAATATATTTAAAAGCTATTTTAGAATTAAATAGACAATCCAAGTGATTGCACTAAAAAACACCCTGAACCCAAAATAAAACCAAAAGTACAAGGAGGTTGTATTAGGCAAAATAATGGTCCCAAAGATGTTTATCTTCCTCCCCAAAACCTGTGCATGTTCTGTTACATGGCAAAAGGGAAATTTTGCAGACACAATTAAGGCTGCAGACTTTATGAGAGGGAGATTATCTTGGATGATCCAAGTGATCCCAAGGGCTAATTACCTAAGGGCTAATCATAGGAGTCCTTAAAAGCAGAGGACATTCTCCAGGTGGCAGCAAAAGAGATGAGACAGAATGGGGAGGTCAGAAGAACTTGAAATGTGAGAAGGACTAGACTCATTATTTCTGACTCTGACAATGGAGGATGGGGGTTCAGAGCTAAGGAATGTGATAGCCTCTGGAAGCTGAGAATGACTCCCTCTCAGCTGAGAACCACGGCTAGCCAAGGACATGGAACCTCTGTTCTAAAACTACAAGAAACTAATCTGGGTCTGAAACCTGAATGAGTTTGGAAGCAGAGCTACCCTAGGGCCTCCAGAAAGGAGTGCAGCCCTGCTGACACCTTGATTTCAGCCTTGTGTGACTAAGAAGTGGACCCACCTGGGCCACGCTATACCAGGACCTCCAACTCGAACTGTGAAATAATAAAGTTGTGGTAATTTATTATGGCAGCAATAGAAAACTAATACACAGAGCTGGGCAAGGTGGCGCAGGCTTGTAGTCTCAGCTACACCCCACCAGAGGCTGAAGCAGAAGGAGTGATTGGGCCCAGGCATTCGAGGCTGCAGTGAGCCATTACCGTACCACGGCACTCCAGCCTGGAGACATGAGACCTGTCTCTAAAATAAGTAACTAAATAATTTATTTAAAAATTATTTAGGCCAGGTGCAGTGGCTCACGCCTATAATCCCAGCACTTTGGGAGGCCGAGGCGGGCGGATCACGAGGTCAGGAGATTGAGACAATCCTGGCTAACACAGTGAAACCCCGTCTCTATTAAAAAATACAAAAACTTAGCCAGGTGTGGTGGCAGGCACCTGTAGTCCCAGCTACTCAGGAGGCTGAGGCAGAAGAACGGCGTGAACTCGGGAGGCAGAGCTTGCAGTGAGCCGAGATTGCGCCACTGCACTCCAGCCTGGGTGACAGAGTGAGACTCCATCTCAAAAAATAAATAAATAAATAAATAAAAATTATTTAAATGTTTTACAAAAATAGAAAATACAGAGGGTAAAAATTAGAAGGTCAATTTAACAACAAATGCCTCTGTGATCTGTAAGTGGAAAGGAATATCTAGCTTTCACAGATATTTGATCATAGAGACATCATATGCATACCCTGGAAGAACACTTAATAGTATCAGAGTTATCACCAAAGAAGGGCTGGAAAAGGACAAAATAATATTGTCAAGGGCACCAAACCTCTCTCTGTTATATAATGATATGATAATCAAAGAAACTGTATGGCTATCCAAGAAAGTCTTCTTGGGAAGCTAGGGGGAATTAAGAGAGGTAACTAAGAAAAGGGTGATTACATATAAAGGATAATGATTGTTGAAAAAATGGTGGATAGGAGGCAGCACTAACTAGCAGCTCCCTCTTGAATGGACAGAGCAGCATATGGAGACCTACATCATGGCCTTTTGCTAACGCAGAAATATGCCAGGAAAGCAGGGAGAATCCACAGACTCTTTGAAGGAAGCGGCTTGCCACTGCAGGCTCCGTAAGACAGCTGAAAAACTGTGAGCGCTCATAGTGTGAGAGGGGGAACATCGCCCCTGAAACACGCATCCTCACTGGGTAACCTGAAGGTCCAGATCACAGGAGGATTTGACCTTACCTGAAGCTGAGACAAATTTAGAGAGGTGAGCGAAATATAGGGGACCAAATACATGGAACCAAAAAAGAGCCCACATAGCCAAAGCAAAACTAAGCAAAAAGAACAAATATGGAGGCATCACATTACCCAACTTCAAACTATACTACAAGGCTATAGTTACCAAAACAGTATGGTACTGGTATAAAAAGAGGCACGTAGATCAATAGAACAGAAGAGAGAGCCCAGAAATAAAGCGAAATAGTGACAGCCAACTCATCTTCGACAAGGCAAACAAAAACATAAAGTGGAGAAAGGACACCCTATTCAACAAATGGTGCTGGGATAATTGGCAAGCCACATGTAGAAGAATAAAACTGGATCCTCATCTGTCTGACCTTATACAAAAATCAACTGAAGATGGATCAAAGACTTAAATCTAACACCTGAAACCATAAAAATTCTAGATGGGAACATTGGAAAAACCCTTCTAGACATTGGCTTAGGCAAAGACTTCATGACCAAGAACCCAAAAGCAAATGCAACAAGATATACAGTGCAACAAACATATGAAAAAATGCTCAATATCATTAATGATCAGAGAAATGCAAATCAAAACCACAATATGACACCACCTTACTCCCACAAGAATGGCCATAATCAAAAAATAATAGATGTTGATGTGGATGTGGTGAGAAGGGACACTTTTACACTGCTGGTGGGAATGTAAACTAGTACAACCACTATGGAAAACAGTGTGATTTCTTAAAGAACTAAAAGTAGATCTGTTTGATCCAGTGATCCCACTACTGGGTATCTACCCAGAGGGAAAGATGTCATTATATGAAAAAGATACTTGCAGCCAGGCGTTGTGGCTCATGCCTGTAATCCCAACACTTTGAGGGGTCGAGGTGGGTAGATCACCTGAGGTCAGGAGTTTGAGACCAGCCTGGCCAACATGGCAAACCCTGTCTCTACTAAAAATACAAAAAATTAACTGGGCGTGGTGGCAGGCACCTGTAATCCCAGCTACTTGGGAGGCTGAGGCAGGAGAATCACTTGAACCCAGGAGGCAGAGGTCACAGTGAGCTGAGACTGCACCATTGCACTCCAGCTAGGGCAACGAGAATGAAACTCCATCTCAAAAAAAAAAAAGATACTTGCACACGCATGTTTATAGCACCACAATTTGCAACTGCAAAAATATGGAATCAGCCCAAATGCCCATTAATCAATGAGTGGATAAAGAAAATATGGTATGTATATATCAGGGAATACTACTTAGCCATAAAAGGAACAAAATGGCATTTGCAGCAACCTAGATGGAACTGGAGACCATTATTCTAAGTGCAATAACTCAGGAATAGAAAACCAAACATTGTATGTTCTCATTCTCATAAGTGGGAGCTAGGTTATGAGGACACAAAGGCATAAGAATGGACTTTGGGGCCAGGTGCAGTGGCTCACGCCTGTAATCCTAAGCACTTTGGGTGGCCGGGGCGGGCAGATCACCTGAGGTTGGGAGTTTGAGACCAGCCTAACCAACATGGAGAAACCCCATCTCTACTAAAAATGCAAAATTAGCCAGGCATTGTGGCGCATGCCTGTAATCCAAGCTACTTGGGAGGCTGAGGCAAGAGAATCAATCGCTTGAATTCGGGAGGCGGAGGTTGCAGTGAGCCGAGATTGTGCCATTGCACTCCAGCCTGGGCAACAAGAGCTAAACTCTGTCTCACACGCACACACAAAAAAGAATGGACTTTGGGAACTTGGGGGGAATGGATGGGAGGGGAGTGAAGGACAAAAGATGACACATTAGGTACAGTGTACACTGCTCAGGTGATGGGTGCACCAAAATCTCAGAAATCCATGAAAGAACTTATCCATGTAACCAAATACTACCTGTTTCCCAAAAACCTATTGAAAAGAAAAATAATAAAGGAAGAACCAACCTGTGGGCTTAGGTATGTGGGGTGTAGCTTTGCCTGCTAACTCCGGTTAAGTCAATATGGTTAATAAAATCATTTAATTACAGATCCACAGATCACTTCTTTCCTGGGTCAGGCTCTCTACATGGAAGATGGGCTGCGAAGAGATGGAAGTTCACTTTCCTTGTGCTGGGGGTAAGTTACCCTGGGACTGGAATAATACTGGCAGTCTAGGTTTAGATCAGAGGTTGGCTGACAATGGCCCACTGCCTATTTTTGTAAATAAAGTTTATAGAATATAGCCATGCCCATTCATTTACATATTGTCTGTGGCTAACTTCATTCTATAATAGCAGAGTTAAGTAGCTGCAACAGAGACCATATGATTCACAAAATACTTAATTTTGTCCTTTATACAGAAAAAAATTTGCTGACTCCTGGCCCAATATATATTGAACCTAAACACAATGAAGTAAACAGAAATACTTATATTAAGGTGGAAAAAAATTACCTGCAAATATACAGAATAGGAGAGACCTGACTCGGCAAGAAATGTGCTTGAATGAAAAAATCTTGATGGTTACAAATCAGCACAAATTATATAAGGAAGGAAAAAGTGCTTAAAAAAAAAGAAAACATACGCTTAGACTACCCTAAAAGAAACAATATCTGGACCAGTAGTTACAGTTCTCCTGTATGAACCATTCTTCAATATATACTCTTGTCTCCAAACTGTTCTCTGCCTAGCACCTTCTAACCAGTGGTTAATTTACACTTATCTGTCAGACTTCAGCTTAGATATCATTTCCTCTGAAAAGCCTTCTTTGATTCCCCAAAACTGGGTTCCATGTACTTACTTACTTTATCATGGCATTTAACATATCATACTGAAATTACTTCTTTATTTGTCCATCTGCCCCACTAGATGAATCCTGTAAGCAGAGATAGGTAGATGGTATTCCAATACCAGGCCCAGTGCCTGCCACATAACAGTTTTTTAACATGTTCATTAAATGAATGCCACAGCCCCATTATATTCCTTATCAGTTAGACTGCATAGTATAAGTATAGTCATGTGTCACTTAACAATGGGGATACATTCTGAGAAATGTGTCATTAGGTGACTTTGTCATTGTGTGAACATCGTAGAGTATATTTACACAAACCTAGATGGTGTAGCCTACCACACACCTGGGCTATATGGTATAGCCCTATTGCTCCTAGGCTACAAACCTGTAGAACATGTTACTCTGGTGAATAATGTAGTCATTGCAACACAATGGTAAGTATTTGTGTATCTAAACATGCAAAAAATATAGTCAAAATACAGTATAAAAGATAAAAAAAAATAGTATGCCTGTATAGGGCACTTACCGTGGATGGAGCATGCAGAACTGGAAGTTGCTCTGGGTGAGTCAGTGAGTGGTGAGTGAATGTGAAGGCCTAGGATGTTATTGCACACCACTGTAGACTTCATAAACATTGTACACTTAGGCTACACTAAATTTATAAAAAAACCTTTCTTTCTTCAATAATAAATTAACCTCAGCTTACTATACTTCTTTACTTAGCTTACTGTAACTTTTTTACTTTATAAACTTAACTCTTTATACCTTTTTAACTCTTATAATAACACTTGGTTTAGAACACAAACATTATACAACTATACAAGGATATTTTCTTTCCTTAGGTCCTTTTTCTAGATTTTTTTTCTATTTTTAAAAATTGTTTAAACTGTAAACTTTTGAAACAAAGACACTAACACATGTATTAGCCTTGGCATACACAAAATCAGGATCATCAATATCACTGTCTTCCACCTCTACATCTTGTCCTACTGGAAGGTCTTCAGGGGCAATATCATGGAGCTGTCATCTCCAATGACAACAATGCCTTCTTCAGGAATACCTCCTGAAGGACCTGCCTGAGGCTGCTTACAGTTGAATTTTTTGTTTAGGCCAGGCACAGTAGCTCACATCTGTAATCCCAGCACTTTGGGAGGCTGAGACAGTTGGTTGCTTGAGCCCAGGAGTCCAAGACCAGCCTGGGCAACATGGTGAAACCCCGTCTCTTCAAAAAGTACAAAAATTAGCTGGGCATGGTGGCAGATACCTGTAGTTCCAGCTACTTGGGAGGCTGAGGTGGGAGGATCACTTGAGCCCAGGAAGTCAAGGTTACAGTGAACCGTGATAATGGCAACTGCACTCTGGTCTGGGGCAAACAGGGTGAGCCCCTGTCTCAAAAAAAAAAAAATTGTTTAATAAGTAGTACATTCTAAAATAACAGTAGCATAATAAATACATAAGCCAGTAATCAAGTTTAAATCAAATGTTTATCAAGTACTATGTACATAATTGTACTATACTTTTTTTCCTCCAGAGCAGGAATGGAAGTTTATTTAAAAAGGCTTTAGAACAGGAAAGAAAGGAAAGTATGCTTGGAAGAAATCTAAACAGGACATGCTATACTTTTATACTACTGGCAGCACAATAGGTTAACACCAGCATCAACATAAACACATGAGTAATGCATTGTGCTATGATGTTAAGATAGCTAGGATGTCACTATGCGATAGGAATTTTTCAGTTCCATTATAATCTTATGGGACCACCTTCCTATAATGAGTCTGTTGTTGACCAAAATGTCATTATGCAGGACCTGTTTTCAGTTTTGGTAATTGGCAGACTGAATTCCCTGCTCAAATCTATCCCCTTCCCTACCCTCTGGTAGACAGATCCCTAGTTTTAACTGGGTTCTTTCCTCTGTGGCCACGTACTCGGAAGAATCAGTACTCCAGTCCTTAGGGTGATTAATCTTTTCTTTTTTTTTGAGATGCAGTTTCGCTCTTGTTGCCCAGGCTGGAGAGCAATGGTGCGATCTAGGCTCACTGCAAAATTCGCCTCCGAGGTTCAAGCGATTCCCCTGCCTCAGACTCCCAAGTAGCTGTGATTACAAGCATGCACCACCACAACCGGCTAATTTTGTATTTTTAGTAGAGACGGGGTTTCTCCATGTTGCTCAGGCTGATCTCGAACTCCCAACCTCAGGTGATCCACCCACCTTTGCCTCCCAATGTGATGGGATTACAGGTGTGAGCCACCACGCCCAGCCCAGGGTGATTTATCTTAACCAGATGGTTCAGGAGGGAATGTGATGCATTTAGGTACAGTGACATGTAAAGGGAAGTCAACTGAGCCATTACTGGAAAGGAGAGATTTACTTAAAAAGAAAAGTGTGAGGAAAATGAGTTTTTTCTGCCTTTGAATGTGCCTATGTTTAAAGAGGTTTTGCTAGAAGCTGCTTGCAACCATGAACATGAGGATAAAAATCCCCTGCATTGAGGATGGCAGAGATGAAAGACAGAAAGAGCTAGGGTCCGTCATCATCAGTAAGCATCTGGAACCACCCCATCGCCAGATGTTTCCTTATGTGAATAGGGTAACACTTTTAGTTGGCTTTTCCTTTACTTGTAGACAGAAGCATGCTAACTTATGCAAGTGACCACATTTTAAGCGGAACTTTAGCAAATTGGGGCACATCTAAATGGCAAATAATGGTGAAGGCTTTGGAAACCATGTCTTTTGAGGAATAAAGGATTATGGATGTAAAGTCTAGAAAAAAGAAGACTTGGCATGAGATATAACAGCTCTTCTGTAATGTGAATGAAAAACCTAGGACCAAGTGTGGTAATGGGGAGCTACATTAATTCACAAATAGGAGAAAAAAGGTCAAACTAGAACTACTTAAAACAGAAAGGTTTATGGGGTAGTATGTTTTCTTGTTAAGAACTTCAGCTGTAATTTGGTGACTCCCTGTTGTGAGCATTCTGGATTTGCTTTGGTGTGAGGCTGAGCAACAGAACTTCTGTTTCCTTCCAACCCTTAAGATGCCATAATTTTATCTGACTTCGTGACATGTACTGCAATAATTGTACAAGCAGGGAGGAAGAGTACAGTTCACCCTTGCACAACATTGGCTTGAACTGCACAAGTTCACTCACACGCAATTTTTTTTTCAATTAATACAGTCAGCCATGCATATCCACGAGTTCCATATCCACAACCAAATGAAGATATGAAATCTGTTGATCCAAAGAACCAACTCCCTGACTTAAAGATGCTTGGATTTTGGTATCCAAGGGGACCCTAGAACAAATCTCCCATGGACATGGAGGGATGATTGGAAGTATAAAATTGCCAGTGTATATATTATTCATGCTTCAATCTCTAAAATTGGTGGCACTATAATAGCCTCTGGACATATTTATGGAACTACCCCAGAAAATCAAAATTGAAGGATACTCAGTAAAGAGTACTAACAAGAAACTCAATTGTTCCTGAAGGCAAAAAAAGAAAAAAAGGAGGGGGTAGAAGTATTGATACACATAAAAATTGCAAAGTGTTAACTGCGCCCCCAATAAGATTTACAGAAAAGGATTACATATATGAATATAGTAATTCTCAAATATCTTTGCTAGGAAAAACTTAACATTTAAAATAAAGATATACTTAGCCTTAGCATGTTTTTAGATATTATAATACAGGAATGTTTTAAATTCTGGATATTTATAGAAATAGGATATTAAAAAGTTGCTTAATTTACTCATTCTATATCCCTCTTCAAATCTCTTCCATCTTCGTAGTTCCAAAGTCTTGATTGAAAAATCTCTTGTTCAACTGCAAGAAATGGAGTAAAAATAAACTGGTGGAAAAAAGCAACAAATATGGCTACCATAGCTATGCCAATTATGATAATAAATTATAAAGTAACTATACTGAATTCAAATAAACACTAAATTGCCCCAACATTATTGGTATAATGATAGCAGTGAGAGTCCAGACTCACTTTTCATGTCAAATTGGAACCATAAGATTCCAATAGATATACCCTTGTGGGTATATCATTTAATGAAAAATTAAATTGCATATGCCATTTTTTTTACATTAAATTGAAGAATTTCTGTATGTGCCAATTTATTTGCTTTAGGGTTTTTTGTTGTTGTTGTTGTTGTTACTGTTGTTTTCCAGAGACAGGGTCTCACTGTTGCCCAGGCTGGAGTGCAGTGGCACAATCATAGCTCACTGCAGCCTTGAATACCTGGGCTCAAGCGATCCTTCTACCTCAGCCTCCTGAGTAGGTAGGACTGCAGGCCTGTGCCACCATGCCCAGCTAATTTTTTAAATTTTTAGTAAAGACAAGGTCTATGTTGCCCAGGCTGGGTGCAAACTCCTGGGCTCAAGCAATCCTCCTGTCTCAGCCTTCCAAAGCGCTGGAATTTTGGGTGTGAGCCACCACAACCAACATGCTTTAGGTTTTAATTCAAATGATGCACATGCCAAGTGAATTATTATAGATCTTTCACAAGTGTTTAATTATTGGAATTTTGTTCAACATATTTCCTTATACTTGACTTGTTCAGTAATTTCAAAATCCCCTGCTCTGATTATACTGTGTATCTATTTTAGTTGGAGTGTTTTTGTTTTGTTGTTTTTTGAGATGGAATCCTGCTGTCGCCCAGGCTGGAGTGCAGTGGCATGATCTTGGCTCACTGCAACCTCCACCTCCCAGGTTCAAGTGATTCTCCTGCCTCAGCCTCCTGAGTAGCTGGGATTACAGGTCCCTCACCACCACATTCAGCTAATTTTTTCTATTTTTAGTAGAGAGAGGGTTTCACCATGTTGACCAGGCAGGTCTCAAACTCCTGACCTCAGGAGATCCGCCTGCCTCAGCCTCCCAAAGTGCTGGGATTATAGGCATGAGCCACCGAGCCCGGGCTTGGAGTGATTTTAAATATTATGAAGGATGGACTTTCATCATACCCCTATACATTTATTTTACCCATATCCTTCAGTGATACTTTTTTTTTTTTTTGAGACAACTTCTCACTCTGTCACCTAGGCTAGAGTGCAGTGGCATGATCTCAGCTCACTGCAACCTCTGCCTCCCAGGTTCAAGCAATTCTCGTGCTTCAGCCTCCCAAGTAGCTGGGATTACAGGTGTGTGCCACCACGCCCAGCTCATTTTTTTGTATTTTTAGTAGAGACAGGGTTTCACCATGTTGACCAGGCTGGTCTCACACTCCTCACCTCAAATGATCCACCTGCCTCGACTTCCCAAAGTGCTGTGATTACAGGTGTGAGCCACCGTGCCGGCCTAGACACTTCTGATTTTTTTTTTCTTTTTTTTTTTTGAGACAGAGTCTCGCTGTGTCGCCCAGGCTGGAGTGCAGTGGTGCGACCTTGGCTCACTGCAGCCTCTGCCTCCCAGGTTCAAGCAATTCTCCTGCCTCAACCTCCCAAGTAGCGGGGACTACAGATGAGCACCACCATGACCGGCTAATTTTTGTATTTTTAGTAGAGACGGGGTTTCACCATGTTGGCCAGGCTGGTCATGAACTCCTGACCTCAAGTGATCCACCCGCCTCAGCCTCCCAAAGTGCTGGGATTACAGGTGTGAACAACCATGCCTGGCCATCTTTTTCTTAAACATTTATTTGCATGTCTATTTTTCTTCAAAAAAATTATCATTCTTGATGACATTTTGAGTATTTGAGTTCTTGTCATATAAATCAAAATGCTTCTGCTGAATGGTTGCAAGAAAGGTTCATCACTTCGCTATATACTTTCCTATCCTTCATAATGCTCAAGTATTCCTAAACACAATGAAGAATTAATATGAGAAATTCAGGTAAACTGGGTCAATAAATTAACCAATAAATTTTAAAATAATACAAGAAATTTCACTTACCATTCAAATAGTATAGTTTGTAAATAACAAATTTTTTTGTTAATGACAGCATGTTGAAAATAAAAACTAACTTATAAGTTATATAATATTACCTTTCTGTCTAAATGATTTCAGAATTAAAAAAAAACCCAGATTACTATTTTTATTAAGTGATGTGTTTTTTCTGGGACCAAAAATTTATTGTGCATAATTTATAATACTATATATATAGCAGGAAAAACATTGAGTTTGTATTTTTTAATATGCTTCCCTAAAAGGTTTCAAATTCTCAAACCTGCTAAGATTGTAACAATACTGTTGACAACATATATGCTAAATTTCAGTATTTTAACATTCACATGAATTTCTTTAAAATTTACAATTATTGTCTAACATCTAATGGTTTATAAAAAATCATCATGCTTACATTGTTTCACGCTTTCATTTTTTACATCTCAAAAAATCGATCTTAAGAACCCAAAAATTAAAAATGTATTAAGTGGCTGGGAGTGGTGGCTCACGCCTGTAATCCTAGTACTTTGGGAGGCTGAGGCAGGCGGATCACCTGAGGTCAGAAGTTCAAAACCAGCCTGGCCAACATGGTGAAACCCTCTCGCCTAAAAATACAAAAAAAAAATGAGCTGGGTGTGGTGGCGTGCACCTGTAGTCCCAGCTACTTGGGAGGCTGAGGCAGGAGAACTGCTTGAACCTGGGAGGCAAAGGTTGCAGTGAGCCGAGACTGTGCCATTGTACTCCAGCCTGGGTGACAGAGCAAGACTCCACCTAACAAACAAAAAAAAAAGTATCAAGTATTGGCTGGGCATGGTGGCTTATGCCTGAAATCCCACCATTTTGGGAGGCAGGGGTTCAAGACCAGCTTGGGCAACAGAGTGAGACTCCATCTCTACAAAGAAAAAAAAAAATAGCTGGGTGTGGTGGCACACACCTGTAGGCCCAGCTACATGGGACGCTGACGGGGGAGGATTGCTTGAGCTGGAAGCTGGAAGCTACAGTGAGTTATGATTGTGCCACTACACTCCAGCCTGGGTGACAGAGCAAGATCCTGTCTCAAAAAAAAAAAAAATCAAGTATTATAATTTAATGAAATTTGCATTTTAAAAACACTACTGCTTCTACATACTGTGTATCTCTACCTTTTGGTATTTATATATTCTAAAAGGAAAATTGAAACAAAATTTACTTTCTATAGCACTTCAAAGTACAGACTAAAAGGAGATTGTTTGGACCGTAAGGAATTAGGCACAGCTGAAATTAATTCTGAGTATTAGTCAATTTCCCAAGGAGAAACTACTTCACCCACTACTCTTTTGGACTTACTTCCATCTGTTTAGCTGAGAATATTGGCAGATCGCAACAGCCACATCATATGTTACAATCAAAGCCAGATGACATTCTGGCATTGTAGTACCATTAAGTGATATGCTAATTTTGTTTTGTGATAAATCAACTGTAAGTTCACATATTCAAAATCCAGAAGCCCACAGTATGGCAAATATTCCCATTCCACCCTCCCATCTTTTTTTCTCCTTTGGATTCAAGAAGTTTGCCCCCCTTTTAATAACTACCAGCAACTAGTTTTCTGTGTTTCATCTCCCTTCAATCAAACTGAAAGGAAGAATTTGATATCTGAAAAACATCCTTGATACCTCATCCATTCATTTTATTCTTTCAATAAAGTTAATTGAGCACCTACTATGTGCCAGGCACTGTATGAGGCATAAAAAATACAAAGTTGAACAATGACAATGACAGAAACAAAATTCCGGTCCTCATGGAGTTTACAATCTAGTGGTTCTGACATTAATCAAACCAATACATACAAAATTACACGTGTTAAATGCTAAGTAGAGGTACATGGTCAGGTGAGACGTATAACAACGGGTCTTACTCTGTGACAGAAATTAGGGAATGTTTCCCTGAGGAAGTGATGAACTAGCTAAGATCTGAAAGACAAATAGGAATTAATTAGGCAATTGGGAAGGGATAGATATTTCAGGCCAAAGAAACAGCATGAACAAAAGTCTTATGCTGAATGAAGCACTGTAATTCTCATTCCGAATACTTAAAGGACAATGAAGGTATTAAGTAAAACATGGTACATATGAGGCTAAGTGGCAACAAGAATAGGTAACCTCTATTGAGGTGATGTGCCAGCCACTGTTTTAATCTGAGACAGTAACTATTTTAATGCTTGGAACTATGCTTTAGATAGTGGCCCTAATATATCTGACCTCATAGGTCAAATATATTTGGTCACATAAAATATTTCCTTTTCATCATTAAGGACAATAAAAAGCCATTCGAGCATTTTAAGCTAGGGGTGCAAGTGCAGGTAGGTGGGTTGTCTTGATTAAAATTGAACTTCGAACAAAAAGGAGAATTCTGCTTGCAGTCGAGTGAATACAGGGAGGGCCAGAGTCGCTGCAGGAAGAACAGTTAGGAGACAACTGCAGTCATGCAGGCAAAAGGTGCTGATGGTAGCTTAGATTAGGGTGTGGTGAGAAGTAGACACATTTAAGAGATGTTTACAAGGTAAAAATGACAGGACTTGATGACAAAGTGATAGGAAGATATGTCAAGATTATTTCTATGTTACCAGTTTGGGAACCAGGGTGAATGGTGGTGGCATTCACTGGGATAAGATGCCTTGGTTAGACTGTAGGTTAACACAAACTTATTAAAAAGGGGGTATAACTCCCCTACTGACATGTATTGAATAAAAACCCACAAAAGAATTCCTGGTGAGTTTCTTCCACATATATTTGCCTTTGGTCATACACAGTCATTCTTATATGACTTAACTAAAAATAATGCTTCATCACAACTAGTATATATGGGGGCATTTCCAAGTTCTTTTTTTTTTTTTTTTTTGAGATGGAGTCTGTGTTGCTCAGGTTAGAGTGCAGTGGTGCAATCGTGGCTCACTGCAGCCTTGGCCTCCTGGGTTCAAGCGATTCTCGTGCCTCAGCCTACTGATTGGCTGGGACTACAGGCGTGCACCACCACGCCTGGCTAATTTTTGTATTTTTAGTAGAAATGGGGTTTCACCATGTTGGCCAGGCTGGTCTCGAACTCCTGACCTCAAGTGATCTGCCCAATTTGGCCTCCCAAAGTGCTGAGATTACAGGGATGAGCCACCGCGCCCAGCCTCAAGTTCTAGGATAAGGTGAGAAAAGAAAAACATTCAAAATACCCAATGTTTTTTACATACATGAAATTAAAAAGCACAGCACAGAAAACCCACTACAAAGCTACTGTAATCATACCCGTTAGAATGACTATTATCAAGAAGACAAAAGGGAAGTGTTGGAGAGGATGCAGAGAAAAGGAAAGAAAAGCTTTGTACACTGTTGGTGGCAATGTAAATTATTATAGCCATTATGGAAAACAGTATGGAGGGTCCTCAAAACATTAAAAAATAGAACTACCATATTATCCACCAATCCCACTATTTGGTATATGTTCAAAGGAAACGAAATCAGTATGTGGAAGAGATATCTGCAATCCCATGTTCACTGCAGCATTACTCAATAGCCAAGATATGGAATCAATTTAACTGTCCATCAATGGATGAATGGAAAAAGCAAATGTGGAAAATATACATAAGAGAATACCATTCAACTTTTAAAAAAAGGAAATCCTGTCATTTCTGACAACATGGATAAACCTGGGTGTAGTGGCACACGCCTGTGGTCCCAGCTACACAGGGGACCACTGTGTTAAGTGAAATAAGCCAGGCACAGAAAGACATGCCAAAATTCTAGATGATCTCACTTACGGAGTGCAAAAAAAGTCAACTTCATGGGATGGAGAGTAAAATTCTGGTTATCAGAGGCTGGGGGATGGGGAAATGGGGAGATGTTTGTAAAAGGACACGAAATTGCAGTTAGTAAATATAAGTTCAAGAGATCTACTGTATATCACGTGATTACAGTTAATAACAATATGCTGTATACTTGAAAATTGTTACAAAATTTTAAGTGTTCTCGCTACAAAAAAAGTTTGTGAGGTAACATGTTAGACAGCTTGATTTAGCCATTCCACAAGGTATACATGTATCACATCGTGTTGTACACCATAAATATATAATTTTTACTTCTCAATTAAAAATATAGGAAAAAAACTCCAAAAAACTCAAAAGTAAACAAAAAATAAAAATAAAAAGCAAAGCACAATTGTCATTTTCAACTCCTGACCATTAACATCTCTCAGCTAGAGATTTCTTTTTTAAATTCCAGGACATGACAACTTTATATCTAAATTATGGTAACTTAAAAAAAAAAAGCCAACTCTGGTAAGTCAATTATCAGGCTTTCCTGTATTTCTCAGACTGCTAGTTTGGGATTCACTTAAACAAAAATCATCCTATCTTTTAGGTAGTTTGAATAACACAAACAGGGTAACATATACCTCATACATAGACGTACACACACAATTTAAAGTTTTATGGTCACCTTTAAAAGATAAAAAAGATAAGGGAAAATGTGTGAATTAATGACTAAGCTATAATAAAAGCATATAACTAGGCTTTAAGTCTAAAGACCAGATTACTAATTGTGATTTCAGTCATTTGTCCTTTCTAAGCCTCAGGGCATTTTTTTAAAAAAAATTTCTAACATTTGAATAATACCTACCTCTCAGAATACAGTGTTTTATGAATTTTAAACATCTATAAAAATAGTACTGCTTATAAATAAAAAAATCAAACTAAGCACACAGAATGCTCAGATTATCATAATCTCTACCGTTTGTATGATTTCCTTGGGAAGACCAAATAAATTTAAAAGTAGTAAGTAAAACATTCAGCTTCTATAACAATAAGCAATTATAATATACGATAGAGGCCGGGTACGGTGGCTCACGCCTGTAATCCCAGCACTTTGGGAGGCCGAGGTGGGCGGATCACCTGGGGTTAGGAGTTGAAGACCAGCCTGGCCAACATGGTGAAACCCTGTGTCTACTAAAAATACCAAAAATTAGCTGGGCGTAGTGGTGGGCGCTTGTAACCCCAGTTACTCAGGAGGCTGAGACAGGAGAATCATTTGAACCCACGAGGCGGAGGTTGCGGTGAGCTAAGATCACACCATTGTACTCCAGCCTGGGCAACAAGAGCGAAACCTCATCGCAAAAAAAAAAAGAAAAACATAGAAAAATTTAAATTTATATAGAATAGGTCAATCTTCAGAAACAATGTTAGCTCGGAAGAAGTTAATGTCCCATCAATCCTTCTTTTCCATAACAGACTGTTTTTGCCGAATGTATACCTAAAAATCAAATGTTCTAAGGACATACGCTATACATTTTAAATCTTTAATTAGACATCTGCACATTTAATCTAAGGCTATTATATAGTTTTAGATTAACATGACTTATTATGATTTTTTTAATACTCTGAGGTAAACTACTATCAATTTGCTCTTGGCTATATCCTCTGTACCCAAAACAGTGCCTGTATATTTTAAATAACGTAAATGAAAATGGATGTTAGAGAAGGGGAGGGAAGGCCAGTATTGTTTTCAATAAAGCCTAAATCACTTCAAAATTTAATGTAAACAAAATATGTATTTTCCCCCAAGCACTTATATACCAGGACCACTGTGTATGTCATGCCAAACACGCAAAGCACCATAAAGTGTTGCAATGTGGTTTAAAATTTTCAAGTATCTTAAAGAAAGAGTAGTCCAGCTATTTCATTTTCTATCTTGGATAGATTTATGTTTAAGAATGTGAATTTTAAAATACACACCACTTAGTTAAATTCTATCAGAAATATATTTTAAATCTTTAAAAGTCTCTTGTTTCTTAACACCCATGTACTTTTATTTTATAATGCATGATTGAGATTCTTTCATGTTGATTTCAACCTTAATTCCTAACAAAATAGAATTCAAAATTCACCAACGACTCTTATTATAGAAGACTTGTGTATGTATATATATCTCACATAGAGCTTTAATCAAAACTAGCTTTATAAATTTAGTATGTGCAAACACCCACCTAATATGATTCTATAAGAATGGTATGAAACTGTCTTATGTGCAAGGAAAAAAACATTTCCAAAAACAATCAACTCCTTAAGGAGAAAAAATGAAGGTAAAGAAATTAATATAAATAGTATTAATCAAAATTTTTATAATTACAAATGGTGCCAAATTTAGCAGGATAAATTACTCTTTTGCTTCTAACAACAAATGTTTAAAGGAATGTACAAGTAATGCTTTTAAATCACTTGGCCATAGATTTTGCTTTTGTATAGTTTGTGCTTTTTACTTTTACATTTGTACCATCTTTTTGTTGAAAATTATAGCTTCCACTTATACAATGTACCCATTATTTAAAATGATATTTTTCACATTTTCAAGATATTTTGTAAGTTCAGTAGGGTGATGATTTTCCAAACCCATTAATTATATAGTTTATTGATCTGCTTGGACTTTTTACAATAATTAAATAATTATAGATTTAAGTACATAATTTTAATAACATTTAAAATGTAAGCCTCTTTTCATTTTACATTAGTCATAAAAGCATTTGAATCTTTGTAAATAATAGTAAATTATTAACAAATATGGAGAAATCAATTCAGCAATCTGTGTGAACACAAGAGGTTTTCCTTTTACATTTTAAAAAATGCCGAAAATGAGATATCAAAATTAGGAAATGACATCTTCTTTTCATTAGGCATGTAATTATTTTACACTATGTGTTGACTTCCCTAGATCACAACAGCTTAAAAGAGGGTTAAGCCCCAAAACACAAAACAACCAAAAGATTGTAATGCCCGTACTAATACTTTCTAAACTGGCTTTGAAATAGTCACCACTTCATCACATTCCATTTTGTTTTATTGTCTTTTCATGAAAATAAAAGTCTTCCCCTAACTGGTAACATCCACATTATAAATATAACCTTCCTACTCCAGAGCTATAATTTCAGTTTTGACTGCCACTCCTGCTATTCAACTGTCATCTTCTTTATATGATGAAGAAGAGCATCTTTTTCCAAGTGAGCCTCTGCAAGAGCCATTTTAGCTTTAGCCAGTTCCTGTTTAAGAGATTCATTCTCTTCCATGAGCTGAAATGATAAATGGCGGGGGGATAAGATAATTTAATCATTTCAGGAAATACAGACTATTTATATAGTATCCAAAGGTATGACACTTGGGATAGTAAAAATGCCCATTGCTGGTGAGAGTGCACTTAAGCTGAAAACTGCTTTGAGACAACATTTGGAAACATGTATCAAGCACTTAAAAAATGTTCCCATGTTTTGACCCAGCAATACAAAATACTAACTCCTAATTTCCTAGTCTAATAGTGACTTCATTTCATATGAATTTTCCTGGACCTCTCTATGGCTTTAGACATTGCTGAGCTACACCTACTTTCTCAGCCTCTCTCCTTTTTCTGGCTTTTATGCCACAGCTGTTTCATATTTATCCATTTCAACCTATGTATGCCCTTTTCATCTTTTCTTCTACTTTTTAAGAACTCTTAAAATTTGACATTCTGTTAGTTCCATTGCTCGGTCGTCTTCTCTTGTATTGAGTCACTTTCTTGGATGATCTTATCTCTCATGGCTCCAACTATCATAGACTCACCTAGCACAAACCTCTCTCCTGAGCTCCAGACTCAAATTCTGAATGTGTCATCAGACATTTTCTTTTTTTTTGAGATGGAATTTCGCTCTTGTTGCCCAGGCTGGAATACAATGGCGCAATCTCAGCTCACTGCAGCCTCCACCTCCCGGGTTCAAGTGATTCTCTTGCCTCAGCCTCCTGAGTAGCTGGGATTACAAGCATGCGCCACCATGCCCAGCTAATTTTTATATTTTTAGTAGAGATGGGGTTTCTCCATGTTGGTCAAGCTGGTCTCGAACTCGCGACCTCAGGTGATCTGCCCGCCTTGGCCTCCCAAAGTGCTGGGATTACAGGCATGAGCCACAGCGCCCTACAGACATTTTCATCTAGATGGCCAATACGTCTCCTCCACCACCCTTTTAAGACTTAGTTCAAGTATTTTATCCTCTTAGAGCCATTCCCTCATAATTAGGAATGGCTATATTAGAGCAAATATATTAGAGCAAATATAGCCATTCCTAAGTACGGGGATATAAAACTAAGAACTTTCTGCGTCACATAGATACATTAAAATATATGCAGTTAATTTCAAATAGTTCTCAAACTTCTTCTAAATCTAGCTTAAGAATTCTTGCCTTATCGACCAAGTGAGGTAGTTTCCTATACTTCTCTTCATCTGTAGTATAGCATCTGACACAGTACGTTGTGACTACCAATTGAACACTCTTGTCCCACTAGACTTTGAGTTCTTCAATAGTCACGGATCATCTACTGCTGAATTCTATATCCCTAGCTCAGAGCTGACATTGAATAAATCCTCATTGAACAGATGCATTAACTCATTCTATGGTTCTATCATACAGATTAAAACTCTGCTGAACATTTTGTTTCTTTATAATGGCAAAAAAAAAAAATCAAAAGCAACTTGAATGTTAATAAATGTTTATAGAAGTTTCAGAAATGATAGCATACCCAAAACCATATTACTAAGCCATTAAAAAAAATTAAGCAAATACAGCAATATGAAAAAATTTTGTTAAACAATTAAGTAAAATTATATAGTATGTACACTTGAATATTAATTTTTTCAAATAAAAAATCTACAAGGAAAAATCACAAAAATACTGAGATAGCACTGGAGGAAGGCAGAAGGTATTAAATTTTTCTTTATTTTTTGCTCAACACTCTAACCATAGCACCTAGCAAAGCACCTGGGCACAATAACAAGCACTCGGTACATTTTATTAAAATAAGTAAACAATGTTTTAACTATTAGTATCTTAATACCTAGTTATTTAATTGCTGAAGCTGAATCTGAATTAGGTTTCCCATTACCTGTTCCCTAGTGAAGTCAAAGGAGAACTCAGGAAAGTTAGCTGACTGAGAAGGCCAAGGAACCCCTGGGCTTGTCTGAGTGGCTTGCGTGACACTGCGTTGTTTCTTCAGATCATACTTTCCACTGGTCAGCAGCACTGAATCGCTTTTGACATTTTCTTTCAAATCATTTCCAGTGTTAAGCATGTGAGAATCTGATCAAACAAATAACATGCTCAGATAACATTTCCAAATACTTGATAAATCTTTAAAAGTTCCATTGTGAAAATCTAATTTAAAACTAAATATCTATATATATTAGTTATGAGGATAGTAGTATGAGATAGAACAACCAGTAAAACCAAAAGCTTATTCTCTGAAAAGATCAACTAAATAAACTTTTCTTCCTAAGAATTCTTCCCAAGAATTTGTCAACTTCATCTAAGTTAATTACATAATTTATTATGTTTTTATATTAAAGGTTTATTCGATTTAATAGATTTAATTTAAAGGCTTATTATTAGATTAACTAATAAACTTTTAGTTAGACTGACCAAGAAAAAGAAATTACTAGAATCAGAAACGAAAGACGTGACATTACTACCAACCTTACAGAAATAAAACACTATAAAGGAATACTATAAACAACAGTATGTCAATAATTAGATAACTTAGGGCAGGCACAGTGGCTCATGTCTGTAATCCCAGCACTTTGGGAGGCCTAGCTGGGAGAACTGCTTGAGACCAGGAGTTGGAGACCAGCCTGAGCAATGTAGCAAGACCTGTCTCTATAAAAATAAAAAATACAAAAAACTATGTAACTTAAGCCTGGCACAGTGGCTCATACCTATAATCCCAGCACTTTGGGAGGCCAAGACGGGTGGATCACCTGAGGTCAGGAGTTTGAGACCAGCCTGGCCAACATGTGAAACCCCATCTCTACTAAAGATACAAAAATTAACCAGGCATGATGGTGCACACCTGTAGCCTGGCAGAAGGCAGCCTGGAGGCTGAGGCAGAAGAATCCCTTGAACCCAGGAGGCGGAGGTTGCAGTGAGCTGAGATCTCACCACTGCACTCCAGCCTGGGCGACAGAGCGAGACTCCGTCTCAAAAACAACAACAACAACAACAAAAAAAAACTATGTAACTTAGATGAAACAGACAAATTCTTAAAAAGACAATAACTACCTAAATAGCCTCAAGAAGACAATGTCAATAGACCTATAGCTGAGAGAGACTGAATCAGTAATCATAAAACTACCCACAAAGAAAAGCCCAGGCCCAGGTGGCTTCACTGGAGAATTTTATCAAACATTTAAAGAATAATATCAAATCTTTAAAAACTCTTCCAAAAAACAAAAGGAGCATTCCCAAACTTTCTATGAAGGCAGTATTACCCTGATATCAAATCTAGACAAAACAAACAAAAAAACCCCACAAGAACACTAAGACCAATATGCTGAAGAATATAGACATAATCATCAACAAAATGTTAGTAAACTGAACCCAGCAACATACAAACATAACTATAAAGCATGGTCAACTGGGATTTATCCCAGGAATGCAAATGTATCTATCATCCAAAAAGTAACTAATGTAATACATCAACAGAATAAAAGGCAAAAGCCACATGATCATCTCAATAGATGCAGAAAAAGCATCTGACAAAATCCAATACCTTTCCATGATAAAAACACTCACCAAGTTAGAAATAGAAGGGAACTTCCTCAGTCTAATAAAAGGTCATCATGTATAAACATCCCACATCTAATATGATACTTAGTGGTGAAAGACTAGACTCTTTTCCTGTTGGCCAGAATCAGAAACCAGACAAGGCTGTCTGCTATTGTTACTTTTTTTTTTTTTTTTTTTTTTTTTTGAGACGGAGTCTCACTCTGTCGCCAGGCTGGAGTGCGGTGGCACAATCTCGGCTCATTGCAACCACCGCCTCCTGGGTTCAAGTGATTCTCCTGCCTCAGCCTCCCGAGTAGCTGGGACTACAGGTGGACACTACCACACCCAGCTAATTTTTGCATTTTTAGTAGAGATGGGGTTTCACCATGTTGGCCAGGATGGTCTCAATCTCTTGACCTGGTGATCCACCCGCCTCGGCTTCCCAAAGTTCTGGGATTACAGGCGTGAGCCACCGCGCCCGGCCTGCTATTGTCACTTCTATTCAACATTGTTTTAGAGGTTCTAACCTGGGCAACTGGGCAAGAAAAACAATAGAAGACATTCAGATTGGAAAGGAAGAAGTAAAATTCTCTCTACTAAACATGATCTTGCGTATAGAAAAAAACTAAGGAAACAACTAAAAACCTACTGGAAATAATCAAGTTCAGTGAGGTTGCAGGATAAAAATCAATATACAAAAATAAACTACATTTCTATAATGTGTAATAAAGAATCCACAAATGAAAGAAAACAATTCGATTTAAAATACTGTCAAAAAGAATACAAATAAACTTAACAAAAGAAGCACAAAACTTACTATACTCTGAAAACTATAAAACATCGTTGAAAGAAATAAATAGATCTAAATAGATGGAAAAAATTCCCACTGTTCATGGATTGGAAGATTTAATGGAAATACTCCCCAAATTTATCTACAGCTTTAACACAATCCCTATCAGAAGTTGAGCTGGCGTCTTTGTAGAAATTATAAGTTGAGCTGGCTTCTTTGTAGAAATTATCAAGCTGATTTTAAAATTCATATGGAATTGCAAGGGACCCAAAAGAGTCAAAAAAAAATCTTGAAAAGGTACAATAAAGTTGGACGACTCACATGTTCCAATTTTAAAACTTACTCTAAAGGAAGTTGGTAATCAAGACAGTGTGGTAGTATCAAAGACAGACATACAGACAAGTAGAATAGAATTGAGAATCCAGAAATAAACCCATGTGTCTTTAATCCTTACCCATACTCAAATTGAACATTTGAGTTAAAGAGCTAAATTTAACGGCTAATTCTATAAAATTCTTAAAAGAAAACATGAGAAAATCATCATGACCTCAGATTTGGCCATGGACTCTTATACAGGACATCCAAAGCACAGGCAAGAAAACAGAAAAGTTGAACACTGTTGTCTTAAGAAATTGCCATAGCCACCCCAACCTTCAACAACCATGGCTGTCATCAGTCAGCAGCCATCAACCTTGAGGCGTGAGCAAAAAGATTATGACTCACTGAAGGTTTAGATAATCATTAGCATTTTTTAGCAATCAAGTTTGTTTGTTTTTTGAGATGGATTCTTGCTCTGTTGTTCAGGCTGGAGTGCAGTGGCACGATCTTGGCTCACTGCAACCTCCGCCTCCTGGATTCAAGCAATTCTCCTGCCTCAGCCTCCAGGGTAGCTCGGATTACAGATGTGCGCCAAGACACCCAGCTAATTTTTGTATTTTTAACAGACAAGGGTTTCACCATGTTGGCCAGGCTGGTCTTGAACTCTCGACCTTAGGTGATCCATCTGCCTCAGCCTCCCAAAGTGCTGAGATTACAGGCGTGAGCCACCACGCCCAGCCAGCAATCAAGTATTTTTAAATTAAGCTATGTACATTTTTTAGACATAATAATAGTGTAAACATGACTTTCATATGCACTGGTAAACTGAAAAATTTTTATGACTTGCTTTACTGTGATACTCACTTTATTGTGGTGGTCTGGAACCCAATCAGCAATATATTTAAAGTATGCCTGCATAAGGAAGAAGTTCAGCTTCCTTCATGTGGCTATCTAGTCATTCCATCACCACTTGTGAAAACGCTATTCTTTCCCTCATTGACTTGTTTTGCCAGCCTTGCCAAAGATCAATGAATGTAAGAGTTTATCTCTGAACTCTCAATTCAATTCATTCCAATTATCTTTTGCCAAGCTCCTTTTCTACTCAATCAGCTAGAGAGCATTTCTAGCTTATAATTATAAAAGCTGATTAGTACTGTTATTTTCAAATGTTTCAGAATTGTTGAATGTCTTGTATTTTCCTATTTTCTTGTTCATGTTTATCCCATTTTCTTGCCTATAAATGCTGTTTCTATTTGCCATAGCTGACCTCTAGTGACTGTGGGAAAGGAAAGCTTGCTCTTCTGGGTGAGATACACCAAGTTTGTTAACTAGATAGGGAATCATTCCCTTCCTGGGGGCTTAGCAGCTGCATAATCTACCCTCAATATTTTAGTCTATATGCAAACCCTACTGAAGTCTACTACTGGGCACAGGCACAGGGGAGGATCCCAAAAAGGAATGCCCATATTATTCATGCTGTTGCCTCAGGGGCTAATTCTAACCTCAGTATCTTGTTGGGGAGATTCCTCCTATTTTTGAGGAGGAACTTCAGTCATGCAGTCCTCTTGGATTCTTTTGGTCCTGTTTCTCACTGCTTCCCAGGGAAGAAGGTATGATTTATCTGATTGACTTTTTTTTAAAGAACTATATATATGTGGTTCAGTCTCTTGCTTTGGTATATGCTGTAACTCCTGCCAAGAGGGTGCATTCTTTTCTGTTTGTTTGTTTTGTTTTGTTTTGTTTTTTTTAATAAGACAGACCTGAATTTTTGGGAGCTAACACATTTGGGAAAGAGGGCTGGGCAGAGTCTTCTCACAGACCTAAGCTATCCTCTTCACCTGAGCTATTATCAGTAATGAAGCTACCATTTTGATCTTTGTTGGCCTTTCTCCTATGTCTGTCTCCAGTTGTTCCCAAACTACAGAGGAAAAGACTCTTTAGAAGGCTCCCACTAACTGTTCCTATATCTGAAATTGTCCTGTCCTTTCTTCTGTAGCACTGTTAATGACTTTATTCTTCAGTTGACACATTTTCTGTCATTTCATGAGGTTTTTGATAGGAGATGAAACAGATGCACATGTCATTCCCTCAACTGGCTACTAAAATAGTGAAGCCCAGAAGATATAAATCTACTGACTCATGCTCTTTCCACTACTCACTACCTTAAAAGACACAGACCTTACATTAGCGACCTTAAAACTTTTGTTAGAGTGGAGATGCAAACATTAAAGGTGAACTAAGTACACAGGCAATACACCGAAAGTAACTAACGTACAGAAAAGTGCCAAAAGAAGTGGAAGAACTCACATCAGATTATAAAAAAGTGTCACTATACAAGGATGCCCTCTCTCATCATTCCTATTCAACACAGCATTGGAAGTTCTGGCCAGGGCAATCAGGCAAGACAAAGAAATAAAGGGTATTCAATTAGGAAAACAGGAAGCCAAATTGTCTCTGTTTGCAGATGATATGATTATATGTTTAGAAAACCCCACCATCTCAGCCCAAAATCTCCTTAAGCTGATAAGCAACTTCAGCAAAGCCTCAGGATACAAAATAAATGTGCAAAAATCACAAGCATTCCTATACACCATTAACAGACAAACAGAGAGCCAAATCATGAGTGAACTCTCATTCACAATTACTACAAAGAGAATAAAATACCTAGGAATCCAACTTACAAGGGAAGTGAGGGACCTCTTCAAGGAGAACTACAAACCACTGCTCAATTAAATAAAAGAGGACACAAACAAATGGAAGAATATTCCATGCTCATGGGTAGGAAGAATCAATATCGTGAAAATGGCCATACTGCCCAAGTTAATTTATAGATTCAATGCTATCCCCATCAAGCTACCACTGACTTTCTTCACAGAACTGGAAAAAACTACTTGAAATTTCATATGGAACCAAAAAAGAGCCCACATAGCCAAGACAATCCTAAGCCAAAAGAACAAAGCTGGAGGCATCACGCTATCTGACTTCAAACTATACTACAATGCTACAGTAACCAAAACAGATACATAGATCAGTGGAACATAACAGAGGCCTGACAAATAACACCACACATCTACAACCATCTGATCTTTGACAAACCTGACAAAAACAAGCAATAGGGAAAGGATTCCCTATTTAATAAATGGTGCTGGGAAAACTGGCTAGCCATATGTAGAAAGCTGAAACTGGATCCCTTCCTTACCCCTTACACAAAAATTAACTGAAGATGGATTAAAGACTTAAATGTAAAACCTAAAATCATAAAAACCCGATTAGAAAACCTAGGCAATACCATTCAGAACATAGGCATGGGCAAAGACTTCATGACTAAAACACCAAAAGCAATAGCAACAAAAGCCAAAATTGACAAATGGGATCTAATTAAACTAAAGAGCTTCTGCACAGCAAAATAAACTATCATCAGAGTGAACAGGCAACCTACAGAATGGGAGAAAATTTTTGCAGTCTACTCATCTGACAAAGGGTTAATATCGAGAATCTACAAAGAACTTAAACAAATTTACAAGAAAAAATCAAACAACCCCATTAAAAAGTGGGCAAAGGATATGAACAGACACTTCTCAAAAGACATTTATGCAGCCAACAGACATATGAAAAAATGCACATCATCACTGGTCATCACAGAAATGCAAATCAAAACCACAATGAGATACCATCTCACGTCAGTTAGAATGGTGATCATTAAAAAGTCAGGGAACAACAGATGCTGGAGAGGATGTGGAGAAATAGGAAAACTTTTACACTGTTGGTGGGAGTGTAAATTAGCTCAACCGCTGTGGAAGACAGTGTGGCGATTCCTCAAGGATCTAGAACTAGAATTACCATTTGACCCAGCAATCCCATTACTGGCTATATACCCAAAGGATTATAAATCATGCTACTATAAAGATATATGCACACATACGTTTATTGCAGCACTATTCACAATAGCAAAGACTTGGAACCAACCCAAATGTCCATTAATAATAGACTGGATAAAGAAAATGTGGCACATATACACCATGGAATACTATGCAGCCATAAAAAAGGGTGACTTCATGTCCTTTGCAGGGACATGGATGAAGCTGGAAACAATCATTCTGAGCAAACTACCGCAAGGACAGAAAACTGTATACCGCATGTTCTCACTCATAAGTGGGAGTTGAACAATGAGAACACATGGCCACAGTGAGGGGAACATCATATACCAGGGCCTGTTGGGAGGTGGGGGCTGGGGGGAGGGATAGGGTTAGGAGAAATACCTAATGTAAATGATGAGTTGATGGGTGCAGCAAACCAACATGGCACATGTATACCTATGTAAAAAACCTGGACGTTGGGTACATGTACCCTAGAACTTAAAGTATAATAATAATAATAAAAAGGAAGTGTCACTATAAAGAAGACAGTTGAGAGAACAATGGAAGGATGAATAAAATCCACATAATGATGAGCAATTCCAATGAGAAATAACAAGGCAAATAAGAACGTAGAGACGTGCAAAGTGCAGAGAAGTGCAAGGTAAGTACCATTATAAGGAGTATAAGTAGGAAATAAAGCTAAGAAAGAGATCAACTGAGAGACACAAGCAAGATCAAAGGCCTCTCTCACTTTCTACAACATTCAAAACACATTTGTACAACAGGTACTAAACCAACTATATATGAGGTTTTTTCCAGGGTAGAGGCCAGTACATATATAGATGATACTTTATTACAATGTACTGAAGGTGTCCCTCAATCTTCCACTACTACATATGTATATACATATAAGAAATATAATAAGTGAAAAGAAACAATCAGTAGGTAAACAATTTAACTTCGAAATTTGAGTAGGTGTTCATTTAAATGGGTTTTCATCGGCTGGGCGAGGTGGCTCGCACCTGTAATCCCAGCACTTTAGGAGGCTGAGGTGGGTAGATAACCTGAAGTCAGGAGTTTGAGACCAGCCTGGCCAACATGGTGAAACCCCATCTCTACTAAAAATACAAAAATTAACTGGGCGTGTTGACAGGCACCTGTAATCCCAGCTACTCGGGAGGTTTAGGTAGGAGAATCACTCGAACCAGGGAGGCAGAGGTTTGCAGTAGGCTGAGATCGTGCCATTGCACTCAAGCCTGGGCAACAAGAGCAAAATTCCATCTCATAAATAAACAAATAGTTTTTCATATATACCTCTGATATGAAAAGAGCCATCGTCACTTCTCTCTACCACAAGATGATCAATATGTACAGTTACAGGAGCTGGTTCAAGGGATACTGTACTACTCCGGGGACTATCATCCTACAGGAAAGAAAAATAACATTGACATGTTACTTCATTCGGTCATATTTTTAATGAGTTAAAGATAACACATGTATCTTTATATGTTTCAGCTGATATAGCGAGAAAACTGCCTGTTATATTTTGCCTGTTATATATTTCCTAATTTCCAAAAAAGATCTCTACATCATTTACCAAAAAAGACAAAATCATTTTAATAAATGCTGATAGAATATATTTTATAGAGAAGGCACATTCTTAGACATGAATGAAAGTCCAGATAAGGAAAAGGAACATGAAAATATAAAATTATTTATTAACATACTTTTAAATTTATTTTCGTGTTAGAAACTTGTATCTTCATTGGCATTACTGTTGCAACAGTTTCATCTTCCAAAAAATGTTGAATATTCATAAGAGAAGATGTAAGAAACTCAGTGCTGAAGTTTTCTATGTGGCACTGCAGAAATCCATTTTTTTCTGCAAGTAAAGAGTGTATTACAGCACCAGGCCCACTTTCAAATCTCAGAGAAATCTCAGGAGAGGATTTGGAATGAATTACAGCTTTCTGATCGGAACCTAAGGAAAATGAACATACAAAAATGTTTGTAGCATTATTCAATAATATTACAATTATGTGCCATGTAGTACATTAAAATAATACTAGTTTTACTATTTCCCCCTAGTTTAAATGATACTCTATAGTACATATACAATATACGTACACACACTAATTTCAATATTTTATGGCAACTTTCTACTACAATAATGTTGATTTTTCTGTATTTTCTGTTTTTTTGATAACAAGAAAAACACATTATGATAGAACTAAGGTGTGATACATGCCTCAGATACTTAGTGTGTGTTTGATTGTGTACCTAACTATACATTCAAATGTTGGCTGTGAAGCAGAAATAAGTCAGACATTTAAAGTGACTCTTAAGCCATTTCTCAAGAAGTAACAAAAGCCTGAGGTTTTGCACCTTCCTCATTAAATTGGGTCCTTAAATAACCTCATTAAATTGGGTCCTCAAATAATGGAAAAGTAAACAGAAAAGACCTCATTAAATTGTTTCTTTAGAAGGCAAACCAAAAACTGAAATTATAGTAAGGGGGGGGAGAGAGAGAGAGAGAGAGAGAGAGAGTGAGAGTGAGTGTGTGTGTGTGTGTGTGTGTGTGTGTGTGTGTGTGTGTAAAATTACATTTACTTATGCCTGGACCCTGTCCCCCCAAAAAATTTATAGATGGCCTAGAGAGGTATAAACACATAGTTTAAAAACAAATTTTAAAATTCCAATAATAGAATATCTAACTTAAAAAACAAAAGTTCCTAGTGAAACCCCTGAAGTAAATTACTTGTAAACTCACACTCAGGGTAACCATTTTGCTTATTTGTTTTATGCTAATTGGTTCCAAAATGGGTAAGAGGCAATATGCACATGGTATAATCTGATAAAAAATGAGGAGACATGGAAAAAAGTAAGGATGGAAGGGAAAAGGGGAAAAGTAGTTGGTAAGATTAATAACCCAAAATGCATTATTTAAATTCCTATACCAAAAGGTGGACCAAAAATGAGCTCCCTAGCAAAAAAGATAAAAATATGATCAGTTTTGCAACTCATATAACCTTTAAGATAAAAACAAACTCGTCCTGGAAAGGCGAAGCTGTTTCAGTTTCTGAGGTATGAAAGTTATTTATCCCACAGGTCCTCATAAGAAGACTGCTATATCAATTCATGATGGAGTTTTAAAAATTCATAATGAGAAGGTATTTTATTTTTCTTCAGCATGGGTGTGACTAGTCTTAAACAGGTCAAATATATGCATGTGTGTGAAAGGGAGAGATTTGCAAGAAATTAAAGATGTGTGTATTTATTTACACCAAGGATAGGTCTCCATTCACAATTCCAGGTGGAGAATTGCTCTTGAATCTTGTATTCCAGGTACAGAATTATATTTAATTAGTGTTATTACTACTTATTAACATTCCAGAAAATAATGCAAGAGTTCAAATCTAACTCCAAAGAATTATTTAAATATTTCAAAATTCAAATATTTTTATTTTTTAAAATAGAAGGTAAAAGAAACAGCCACAAATTGGTAATGGTTAGTGTTCTTTCCCATAGCAAGAAAAACAAGAGTGAACTTGCTGAACAAGAGAACTTGCCAACAAACAACTTGATTAATGTGATTTTATTTTGCCTTTTTATCTGTCTAGGTCTACACACACACACATTCTCATCCCATGGAGTAAAGCCAGGAATAATTTCAAACAAAATGAGTTTTTTGGAGACGAAATAAAACAAAACAAAAATTTTCTTCATCAAAATCACTCCTCTCTACTACCCCTTATACCATGGAACCATTAAGCTATGTCTTCCTATTGAAGCTCCACACACTATAGAAAAAACCACTAACTACTAATAATAAGTAAATGTAATTTTCCTTGAATTCAATTATAGCCAAGATAGGATTGCTGGTGAGACATATATAAAAGTTAAAACATATTAAACCATTGTATATGAAAAATAATTAAAAAAAAAAACTTACCAACTGGACGATTACAAAGGTAATGCCGAAGGCTGATATTGCCTAATTGGTCTGGTGTCACCTGGTTCACTTGAAGACAGATTTCTGTATCTTCCCCTCGGATGTCAATTTCCCCATTAACACCAGTAATTTTAAATACCACAACGGACATCTATTAATGATTGCATAAATAATATTAGTATGCCAAGCAGTTCAAAACAAAATTTAAGAAATAATATAGGAAACTACCATTACCCTCTAAAAATACAATTGTGACCTACCAGACCAAAAGTATACTTGTGACCTACAGAACACGGTTGTTACATTATAGTGAAAACCTTTCATTTACTTAAAAAAAAAATTAGGTCACAAGGATTGTAAAATGTTTTTCATTAAAAGCTAGACATAATATATTTTTCAAGTCTCCCAGAAGTATTTCACTGCATCAGGAGGGCTTAAAAGAAACCATTAGCTTGGGCAACACAGTGAGACCCCATATCTACAAAAAAATTTAAAACAGCCAGGTGTGGTGGTGTGCACCTATAGTCCCAGCTACTAGGGAGGCTGGGACAGGAAGATCACTTAAGCCCAGGAGTTCAAGGCTGCAGTGGGCTATGGATACATCTCTGCACTCCAGCCTGGGCAACAGAGTGAGACCCTGTCTCTAAAAAAATAAAAATAAAAATACAAAAAGCAATACAGAAAAAAGAAAGAGCCTCCACTCCTCAATATGAATAAAACAAATTTAGAAAAGTAAAATCAAAGGAAAAACGATTGGGGGGAGGCATTTTCAAGAACAAAAGCTGCAAATTGAATTGCCCACCATCTAAGAATTCATTTTATATATGAATGTCTCAAAATATATACATGTCAAATATGAAATAAAGTTGGTGGCATTTATCTTCATAGAATCTCTCTGAAATGATTATTACCAGGTCATCATGATTTTCCTGAGCACCCTCTGAATTTGTACTGATGGCATCTGGAGAAGTTTCACCATAATTCTGTAGGTTTGCACCAGCATTCACACTTTCTGCTGTGCCCCTGTAATTTGTAGTTGAGTTCTTTTTATTTCCTGAAATAACACAAAAGTAAATTAATAAATTAAAGTCAGTTTTACACATGATCTAACACTGTATGCTTATTTAACAAAAATGGACTATCCCTTCAACTCTTTCTCAAGCACTGCCTCCTTTAAAAAATGGACCAAGAAAAATTAGATTGTAATTAGTTAGCAAACAATGAATGTGCTATAATTCAATATTTCTCAAACTATCTGTGGTAAAAGACAATTTTTTTTAAAATTCAGTAGCCATCACAGATCAATACTTTTAAAAAATGCCATAAAAATGAATTAATAGAAAAATTAGGTAAGAAAACCTAAAGACATACAAAACATAAGTCTCAATTTATTATTGTATTTACTACTCTGTAGTCAGCTTCTAACATAGTGCTTGGCAATGTGGTAGGTGCTCAATACATTATTAAAAAAATGGCCCAGGGAAAATACCTGTGAATACATTTGTGGTATGAGGGGCTAATAAAGGCATTTCATAAGGGGTTCCTAACATCATCAGGGGTTAAGAAGACATCTCTGATAAAATAATATTTCCACTAAAGTGAACAAGCCTGGGTGTGGTGGCTCACGTCTGTAATCCCAGCACTTTGGAGAGAGGATCACTTGAGCCCAGAAGTTCAAGACCAGCCTGGGCAACACAGCAAAATCCCATCTCTACCAAAAATACAAAAAATTAGCCAGACGTAGTGGCACTCGCCTGTGGTCCCAGCTACTTGGGAGGCTGAGGCAGAGGACCACTTGAGCCTGGGAGGTAGAGACTGCGGTGAGCCAAGATCACACCATTGCATTGCACTCTAGGACAGAGTGAGACCCCATCTAAAAAAAAAAAAAGATTCCCTTTAAATTTTTTTTTTTTTTTAGATGGAGTCTCACTCTGTTGCCCAGGCTGGAGTGTAGTGGTGCGATCTTAGCTCACTGCACCCTCCACCTGCCTCAGCCTCTCGAGTATCTGGAATTACAGGAACACGCCACCACGCCTGGCTAATTTTTGTATTTTTAGTAAAGACGGGGTTTCACTATGTTAGCCAGGGTGGTCTCGAACTCCTGACCTCAAGTGATCTGCCTGCCTTGGCCTCCCATAGTGCTAGGATTACAGGCGTGAGCCACTGTGTCTGGCCCCCTCTAAACAAATTTTTTTAAAATTTACATGGAAAAGAATAATTGCAAGGAGAGCAAAAAGACACTCTGAAAAACACTGAGTGGATAAAATAATGAGTGGGAAAAATAAAGCGAAGAGTTATCCTTAACCACTCTAATTAAAATTAAAAATAATAAAATAAACAGAAAGAAAAAGAGCATTCCAGAAACAGGTACAACAGACTGAGATGGAAAAGTTTATCACAGTAAAGAAAGTGAGATAAAGACTGAAATAAACTATGATCCATCTGAAGTATAACGAGCACATGGGAAAACATCAGAAAAAGTAAGCTGGGGCCACATCACACAGAGCATTGTCAGTAATGTTAAGGATTTTAACTTAATAGCCTTAAAGCAATTACAAGTTATCAGCAGTACAGTGGAAAACAACATGATCAAATCTATGTTGTTGTTATTTTTTCTTTTCTGTTTTTTTTTTTTTTTTTTTTTAAGACAGAGTCTCGCTCTGTCACCCAGGCTGGAGTGCAGTGGTGCGATCTCTGCTCACTGCAGCCTCCGCCTCCCGGGTTCAAGCGATTCTCCTGCCTCAGCCTCCTGAGTAGCTGGGACTACAGGCGTGTGCCACTATGCCTGGCTAATTTTTTGTATTTTTAGTAGAGACGGGGTTTCACCATGTTAGCCAGGATGGTCTCCATCTCCTGACTTCGCGATCCACCCGCCTCGGCCTCCCAAAATGCTGGGATTACAGGTGTAAACCACTGCGCTCGGCCAAATTTGTGTTTTTTAAGAGTATTTTGCCTGGCCAGGCACAGTGGCTCACACCTATAATCCCAGCACTTTGGGAGGCTGAGGCGGGTGGATTATCTGAGGTCAGGAGTTCGAGACCAGCCTGGCCAACATGGTAAAACCCCATCTCGACTAAAAATACAAAAATTAGCCGGGTGTGGTGGCACGCATCTGTAATCCCAGCTATTCAGGAGGCTGAGGAGGCAGGAGAATCACTTGAACCCAGGAGGCGGAGGTTGCAGTGAGCTGAAATCACACCACCGCACTCCAACCTGGGCAACAGAGTGAGACTTGGTATCAAAAATATATATATTTTTTGGCTACAGAATAAAGAATGAACTGCAAATGGATAAGAAGAGATGTGGAAAGACTAGTTAGGGACCAGAGGTAGGCTGATAGTCCAGTTATGTGTTTATATGTGTTCATAAATATGTACATACATTCACAAATATGTATACATGCACGCATGCACATACATATCTTTTTGTATACACATACCTTTGTATGTATCTGACACACCCACACACGTATATAAAAATACATAGATAAAAGCCTGGAAGCATATACACCAAAAGTTGACGGTAGTTACTTCTGCAGTGGGGAATGATATCAAGGAGACAGTAAGGGTGATATGATACTAAGGTGATAACTTCAATTTTTACTCTAGGGATTTCCATATTATCTGGTTTATGGAAATGCCTAGAGTAAAAAATTGAAGATATCACATTAGTATCTCCCTTATTCTCCTTTTTAAATGAGAGAATACTCATATATTTCTTGTAAAATTAAAACAAAACAAAATACCAAGAGTCTCCTTCCAATGAAAATTAATGACCCTGACATAAAAATAAGTCACTGTTCAAAAGAACCAGGAATGTATATCATTAAAATGTTACACACAAAGTCTACACTTTTTAAGATCCTAAAAATAGTCTACTGCTGGAATCTATTCTAAGATAGTCATCAAAAATGCAGACAAAAATTTGTGAACAATAATATAATTATAGCACTTTTATAACTGATAAATTATAAACAATCTAAACATCCAACATCAGGGAAATCTTTAAAAGGCTATGGTACATTCTTATGACAATTTTATATAGGCTTAAAAATATTTTCAAAGGAGTTTAAATAATATTAGAGAATACTTACAGATGATAAAAAGTAGGTTACAAGCCAAATACATAATATGACAGCAAACATACATATATATGGGTACATACACAAATTCATAAAATAAATAACAGTTGATATATTGTGAATGTGAGACTTTTTGGTGATTTTATTCTCCAAATTGTGGTTGTATTTTCCAAGTTTTCCACATTGAGTGGTAGTCACTTTTACTTATTATTTAATTATTAGAAATAATAAAATCACTGATGCTTTCAGATTAAGTAGGGTTATCTGCCAGAAGAACATTGTTTTTGAAATATATTTTGATCATAGGACAAAAATCCTCTATTAAGGTAGGATTTTAAATCATAAAGGGGGCACGGGGGAACTAGAGTTATCTGCGAATCTAGAATAGATTTTCATGACACACATTAGTACCTCTTCTACATTTAAGTGATATGCTGGAAAGAAGATTGCTATGAATTATAACAGAGTTAGACAGAGAATTTTTGTTTATGTATGGTACACATTCCCCAAGTCTGGGGAGCTAGAATAGCTTAACGGCTTGTTAAAAACTTGGGCTCATCAGTCAGACTAGCTGACAACTCTGCCTCTTACTACTTCCTGGCTAAAACTTTTGGACTAGATACCTTATTTCTTTAAGCTTTAGTTTCTAAATCTATAGAAAAGTGATCAATAATAATAACCACCTCATATGATGGTCTTAAGGATTAGATAAATTAATGTGTTTTATAGCACTTGGCAACATGACTAAGGGTGGTTTAATAAATGTTTGCTATTGTTGTTATTAAATATCATCTATCATGTAAGGTAAACTGACTAGTGTCTCCCACCAAGATAAAGTAAACTGGAATCTAGTAGAGAGATTTTTCTCTGACTTATGTAAAGAGTAAATTTTTTTAAGAAGACGTGTTTGTGTCAGATAGAAGAGCTCAGACTTTGAAGTCTGACTAACTGGGTTCAAATGCTAAACTCTACTACTTACTAGCTGCATAACTTTGGGCAAGCTGCTTACCTCCCTAGGCTTTGTTTGCCTCACCTTTAAAATGAAGATAACAGTTCCTACCTCAATTTATTTGAAGATTAAATACATGTAAGACGCTTAAAATAGTAACTGGTATAGTAAATATTAGCTTAGAATAACAAACAAGAGGCCAGGCATGTTGGCTCATACCTGTAATCCCAGCATTTTGGGAGGCTGAGATGGGAGGATCACCTGAGGCCAGGAATTTGAGATCTGCCTGGCCATCATGGTGAAACCTCATCTCTACCAAAAATACAAAAATTAGCTAGGCGTGGTGGTGGGTGCCTGTAATCCCAGCTACTCGGGAGGCTGAGGCAGGATAATCAGTTGAACCCAGGAGGCAGAAGTTGCAGTGAGCCGAGATCATGTCATTACACTCCAGCCTGGGCAGCAAGAAAAAAACTACATCTCAAAAAAAAAAAAAAAAAAAGAATAACAAGAAAGACAATCCCAGTTCTGCGTACAATAATGTGACTATGGGAAAACTACTTAAACTTCAGGAGCCTCAGTTTCCTTATCTGTAAAAGAAGGATAAGAATAAGCACTTATACCTCACAGGGTTGAGGCAATCAGGTACATAGTAGACAATAGGCTCTATGTCTGAATTTAAACCACTAATTAGCTGTGTTACTTTGGATTCGTTATTTAACCACTCTCTGAAGATAACAGTATACTATTGACAGAATTGTGAGGTTTAAATTCATTAATATATATACAAAGCATATAGAATGGTACCAACACAAAGTAAATGCTCAATAAATGTTAGCTTCTATTATTACAGAGTTGTCACTCAAATTAAAAGAAGTAAACTATTTAAGCACCTGCAACAGTATGAATGCGTCCCTTTGAAATTCATGTGTTGGCAAAGTGATAGTACTAAGAGGTAGGGCTTTTAAAGGATGATCAGCCCATGAGAGCTTACCCCTACATGAATGGGATTAAGACCCTTAAAAAAGAGGCTTCAGGTAGCTTCTCTTGACCTCCAGAGGACTGCAAAATGCAACGCTTACAATTTGATGAGGTTTGATCTTGGACTTCCCAGCCTCCAGAACTGTGAGAAATAAATTTCTGTTCTTTATAAATTACCCAGTCTGTGGTATTCTGTGATAGAACAAAACAGACATTGCTTGGCAATAAATGGTAGCTACCACTATGGTACTTACATCAATAATACATATTATATTATTACTTATTATATACTTGTTATATTTATTATGTTACTAATTATCTAATCTAAGCTTTTCATCTAAATCAGTGGGCTTATTTCCTTTCAAACAGAAAGTAATTCAGGCCAGGCATGGTGGCTCATGCCTGTAATCCCAGCATTTTGGGACGCCGAGGTGCACGGATCATTCGAGGTCAGGAGTTTGAGACCAGCCTGGCCAACATGACGAAACCCCATCCCTAGTAAAAATACAAAAATTAGCCAGGCATGGTGGTGCATGCCTGCAATCCCAACTACTTGGGAGGCTGAGGCAGGAGAACTGCTTGAACCCGAAGGCAGAGGTTTCAGTAAGCTGAGATCACAATACTGCACTCCAGCCTGGGCGACAGAGTGAAAAAAAAAAAAGAAAGAAAGAAAAAAGAAAGTAATTCATATTTGCCTCTGGTATCCTATGTTTTTGTGTCTGCAGCAACTACTTTCTGACTATGGCCCATGCTTCTAATTCCTGTTTACAAACTCCTTAATGCCTTAATGAGGGAGATGCAACTAACACCTTCTAAGTCATTTCTAGCAGTCTTTACTGGGGCATTGGTTGTCTCTCAATAAAATGGGAAAATCATGTAGTTACACCATATACTATCATATATGTGAAAGAATCCTAATTTTGTAAATCAGTAGAATTCACCATGCAAATTAAGCCCACCTAATCAAATTTCCAAATATAGGAGTCTCTGTAATAGAGGCTGGTAGCCTTAATGTCGCCTGCTTTATGGTCTAAATGACTGCATACATATAATTGCTGGATCTCAGCCATAGAGAGGCAGGAGTATCTGGTTAAAAGAAACAATGGAACAACCATTAGAGGAAAGTTAGGTACTCTTGCATAGTCCCTGTATGTATAAATAAGTCTTTTTGGGGGGCTATAATGAACAATTAGAATATATCTAAAAATAACTAAATATTATTAATAATTAACAATTACTAAATATAAGTAGAAATATTCAGTTATTTTTAGTTATGTTCAGTAACTTTAAAAAGCATGGGTACAGTTAACAATTACTGAATATAACTAAAAGCATCCCTTTTCTCCTAAGGTGTATGTACGTAATATGAATTCTTAAGCCGTATCATAACTTTACCTTTTTCCAAAAACATATGGCTATCACTTCCATCACTTTCTAATAACTGTTCTTCCAATATCATGCTGTCAAGTGAAATGGTATCCAATGACATTTGTGAAGAGCTTCTTTTCATATTCTTATAAGAAACACAGAGAGGAGCCAGGTTGGGTGGGCAACGTTCCTTAGGCTTTCCACTGTTAACAAAATTATTAGAAAATTATTACATATAGAGAAAAGAATTCTATCTAAAAAATACTTCTAAGAGAATTAAAATATGTATATAGCATCCATAGCTGAAATTATATTTAAACGTATAAGCTCAAAGTGTTTTCATATTTTGAAACATCTACTCTTCTACATGTTAACAATGCCATATTTTGTCATGAGCTTTTCTGCCTCAAAACAAAATACACTCATAGGCACACACGCTCCACAAAATAAATTAATTTTTAAAAAGGCCAATAAAATGTTGTTACCTTAAAGATGACTGTGATTTAAGTGTTCTAACTGGGGGGGTCTCTTCTTTACTGATATCCAGGTTTTCAGAGAGTGAAGCTGCTTCTGGAAGCAAATCTTCAGCTTTAAAGATGGACTCTATGGTTTCATTTCCTTTACTAGTTAAAGTACTTGAAAGTATGTTTTGATTACCATCACTATCAAATGAAAGTATATTCGAATCTTCTCTGTAGTTTAAGATACTACTTGAATCTGTATAAAATGAATCCTTTTTGTCACTTGTTTCTGATCCAATTTCTCCTGAGCCACTTTTGTAAACAAGTCCACTACTTTCATCTTCACTTATTTTCCCTAAATGTTTATCTGATAAATAGTCCATAAAAGAAATGCCTTTTTGCAGATTTGTATCACTAGCTGATTTAAAAAGCAAAGGATCCTTTAAAGGGATATGGCTAAGGTCAACACTCATAGATCTGTTGTCTGACATATGATTAACAGTTACACTTCTAATTCTATTTATATCCCTACTAATTTGTTTTCTTTTTGAAGACAAAAAATCCCCATTTTCTGTAGGCAAATAATCAGGTACCACTGGGCTCACACTTTCAGAAACAGGAGACTTAAGAGTATTTGCTTGATCCACTGGATGGAGCAAAAGAGCCAGTTCTGCACTTCTAAGTAAAATTCCAATACAAATGGATGTCTGACTAGCAGGACTGCCAGTTACAGCTTCTACATCTTTCCTTAAGTTCTCTGAAAGCAGGATAAGTGACTCATGCAGGAAAAGTAGAAGCAGATACTGGTAGTGATTAATCTGCATACTGACATGTTTATGAACATGAACTAGGAGATGAATATCTGCCTCTGACGAGGAAGGGGAAAATCTGAAAAATGTATCTGATGAAGAAGGCTTCTGACCACCATTTGTCAAAGGCTCAGACTCTGTACTATAATACTCCTTCAAGAGCTTCTTCCGCTTCAATCGGCCAGCCAGATCACTAGATTCACTTTGTGATGTATTTAGAGATACCTGATTACAAGTCTGCGGCTCTTTTTGTGACTCTGCATATCTTGTTGGTTGACAAATCCAAATGGAAAGAGGGAATGAGTCTACAAAACTTATTGGCCGTCCTTTTCCACTTTTCATCCCTTCATAATCTATCCAAAATTGAGAAAAGTACACAGCCCAAACATCCGTGGCAGCAGAAGTTTTAAGAGTGTTTTTATTCAATTGGGGAGTAATATTTCCTTTATAAATTTCATGCATTTTGGTATCTTGTTCATGAGCATGTCTCTGGAAAATTGGATGTAGAAGATTAAAATTGTCACAAGATTTGGGGAAGCTGGTATATGTTTTACTAAAAAAATCACAATCTTTAAAGTCTTGAAACAAAGCTTCTAGGTCAGAATGTCGACAGTTTGGACAGTGCCTTGTATTTGTGGCAATCATTTCAGAACTCTGAATAGAAATTGCACGTGGCTGATCTTGATGACATTCAGATTTCACTTCAGAAGGAATGACAAACTAGAAGAGAAGAAAAATTAATCTCATCCAACTGGCAAATCCATACATCTTGAAGATAAAAGAACATGACTTAGCTCAGAAATTCTTTTTCTTGACCTTTCCCCCAAAATACTACTTTCCTATTAAGACGTAAAACACTAACTCTTCCCCTCAAATCTTATTAAATTGAGTAAAGGGGACTTACATGACCACTAAGAAGAGAATCTTTTTAAAAAACATAACATGAATTAATAATCAATGTAACATACATATACGCACAAATCATAAAATAAAAAGAACAAAATTAAATCATTACTACTACTTGTTTGTATGATACCTTTAGCATTAAGCCATCAACTCGAACATCAACATGCTCGTCAGATTTTGAATTGTCATTCAACTTGTACACAGCCATGAACTGATTAAGACTCTGTTTTAAATCCAACAGAAATTGATTTAACCATAGAATGCTTCTTTCATCCACAGTAAACTGTAGTGCATTCAGCTGGCTATAGAGGTTGGGAGATGGAACTGTGGAGACAAGATGTTTTTTAAAAATTTTTAATTGGATGGTTCTAAATCTTCCCTGAGAACAAAAAATACATGTTTAGTCAGTTTTATTCTTTCTTAAGATAAAACAAATTTGAGGTATTATTTACAAAATCAAAGTGATACATTGGAATGATAACAAACACATTTAGATAGACAAAAAAAATTTCCCATGCCTAACTGAAAAAATGTTTTAATATTTCAAAATATCTATAACATATAAATATATAAAACACATGAATATTTTGAATATATAAATTAATCTAAAACTAACTGCATAAAACAGGAAGCACTGTTTCAATTTCTTTCCTAAGGTTGTATTTACCAAGAAGCAAACCTCTAAAAACATTACCTTCTTGATGAAGTATCACATCAAAGTGGTCCTCGATCACATATTTCTGTAGACTTTACAACCTGAATCTTAATCTATATCTTCTAAAATGAGAGAGCTAAGTTAACCAATTTCTTATGAAAGTGCTATGCTAGCAGGTTCTCCTTGAAAGGAGGGACCGTGCATAAATTTATTCCCCACTTTTAATCAAGGCCTATAATAGTGCTTGGAGTAATGTAAAAACCAAGTATCTCCTGAATAATAAAATGAATTCACTCTTTCATAGCTCTCCTAAAATAAACTAATATTTACAATTAGAGGGTATATCACTTCCTGAAATATACATATTTTTCTACCATAAAAGACATTTTGTTTTCAGAGCACCTTGAAGATCTTTTATTCTAAAAATTCAGACATATTTATTCCTACAAAAGCTAAAGTTATGCATATCTAGAGCATTTAGACTAAATTTAAGAAAAATAAATCAAAGGTGTGAGATACCAGTGGAGAGGGAACACTGTAACAATGTCCTGAATATGGTTTATTTGCTTATGTTATTTATTTATTCATTCACTTTCCTTTAAGATTCACTGAATGTCAACTACATTGTCTTACCCTAAGCACAAAGAAAACAAAAAAATAGGGCATGGTCCTTTTTCCTTAAAAGTTCGTAGTTTATTACATGAGACATATACAAACAGAGAAAAATTACAATTTAAGTCTATCAGAGACATGCAATTGTGAAGTGGAGGTGCCTGCCTTTTGGGAATAGAAATAAAGTGGGTGCTGCAGAGACTGCATCACACTCTGGAAGGAAAGGAAGTAAAGGGAATATCTCAACGTAGATTGATTGATGATGGTAGTCACAGAGTAGACTAGGGAGCAAATGCTGCCCAAGACTAGAGCACAGAAAGAACCCCGATAGCAGATGTGGGACTGAAAAAGGAACCCAGGACACTAAGCAGTAGAAAGATCTATATGCAGGGCCGGCGCGGTGGCTCACGCCTGTAATCCCAGCACTTTGGGAGGCCGAGGCGGGTGGATCACGAGGTCAGGAGATCGAGACCATCCTGGCTAACACAGTGAAACCCCGTCTCTACTAAAAATGCAAAAAATTAGCCGGGCGTGGTGGCGGGCGCCTGTAGTCCCAGCTACTGGGAAGGCTGAGGCAGGAGAATGGTGTGAACCTGGGAGGTGGAGCTTGCAGTGAGCCGAGATCGCGCCACTGCACTCCAGCCTGGATGACAGAGCGAGACTCCGTCTCAAAAAAAAAAAAAAAAAAAAGAAAGATCTATATGCAGTTTCCAACAGAAGTCTACTTATAAAACAGATTAGTATGTAGTTAATAATACTTAAAAGCAGCTTGTAGAAACTTTGAATATTCTGATATCACGAAGGGAAAGAAGCAGGGTGCAAATTAAATATGTAAAAGAAATACATGCATTAAAAACAAGACTAACAATGCTATACTTATTGCTATGGGTTGAATTGTGTCCCTCCAAAATTCATTTACTGAAATTCTATCCCCCTGTAGCTCAGAATGTATTTGGAGCTAAAGCCTTTAAACAGACAATTACGGTAAAATGAGTTCACTGGGTGGGCCCTAGTCCATTATGACTCATATTCTTATAAGAACCGAACAGGAGGGACATACACACATACACAGAAGGAAGACCATGTGAAAACAAAGGGGAAAGATGACCATCTACAAAGAGAGCAGTCTCAGAAGAAATAATCCTGCTGAAGTCTTCATCTCGGACCTCTAGCCTCAGAACTGTGAGACAATAAATTTCTGTTGTTTAAGCTGCATAGTCTGTGGTATTTGTTATAGCAGCCCTAACAAATGAATATACTTACGTTTGAGCAGATATCTAAAACTGCAAGCGTACAAGCATTGTTTTGGCTTTTTCTTCTTTATTGTTAAAATACAATGTGTACGTTACTTTCACAATGGTAAAACGAAAGTTAAGAGATTATAAAAGTTGGATCATTTAGTTTTGTTCAAAACAGAGATAATGAAGAATGAAAATTAACTCATCTACATGAGGGTGCAACATACTATATTCTCTACTTTTGTTTATTTTTGAAAATTTCTCTAAGAAAACATTAAATTAAAAAACAGTTAAACTTAATCTAGCAATTCCACTACCAGGTATCTACAGGGGTCAAGTTTAAAATGCAAGGAAGGAATTTTGTAACTTTTTTCAGAAAAAAAAGTACAGATTATAGAATGAGATTATAATTCCTTTGGTACATGCTAACAAAGCTTGTATAAATAAGCCTGGATGGCTGGGAGTGTTGTCTCATGTCTGTAATCCCAGCGCTTTGGGAGGCCAAAGTGGGAGGATGGCTTGAGCCCAGGAGTTTGAGACTAGCCCAGGCAACAGAGTGAGATCTTGTATCTACAAAAAATTTAAAATTAGCTGGACATGATGGCTCATGCCTATAATCCTAGCTACTAGCGAGGCTGAGGTGGGAAGGTCACTTGAGTCCAGGAGTTTGAGACGGCAGTGAGCCACGATTGTGCCACAGTACTCCAGCCCAGGCACAGAGTGAGGCTGTCTCAAAAAAAAAGAAAAGAATTTAAAAAAAAAAAACAGCTTAGAAGTCATAAATACTGGAAACTACTCTTAACTCTGAAGAAAAATTACTTGTTCAGGGACAAGGTGGCAGGCGGGAGGCAGGACTAGTTTGCAGCTCCGACTCGGATGGACGTAGCAGTGTGTGGAGGCTCACATAGTGAATTTTTGCTCCAGAATCACTACAGGAATAAATCAGGAAAACTGGGAGGACCCGTAGACCCTCTGAAAGAAGCAGATTGCTCCTGCAGGACCTGAGAGACAACCCAAATACTGTGCTGGTACTCACAGCTGAGCCACAGATGGTTCACATCACAGAACTCTGTGCAGACAACCCCCAGTACCAGCCCAGAGCCTGGTAGACTTGCTGGGTGGCTAGATCCAGAAGAGAGATAACAATCACCACAGCCTGGCTCTCAGAATCCACACCCACAGGAAGAAAGGGAGAATACCGGCCAGGCACAGTGGCTCACGCCTGTAATCCCAGCACTTTGGGAGGTCAAGGTGGGTGGATCACCTGAGGTCGGGAGTTCAAGACCAGCCTGACCAACACAGAGAAACCCTGTCTCTACTAAAAATACAAAGTTAGCCTGGTGTGGTGGCAGGTGCCTGTAATCCCAACTACTCGGGAGGCTGAGGCGGGAGAATCACTTGAGCCCAGGAGACGAAGGTTGCGGTAAGCCTAGATTGTGCCATTGCACTCCAGCCTGGGCAACAAGAGTGAACTCCGTCTCAAAAAAAAAAAAAAAAGGAAAAGAAAAAAAGGGAGAATACCACTCCGAGGGAACATGCCATGGGACAAAAGAATCTGAACAACAGCCTTCAGTACTAGACATTACCTCTGAGAGAGCCTACCCAAATGAGAAAGAACCAGAAAAACAACTCTGGTAATATGACAAGACAAGGTTCTTTAACACCTCCAACAAATCACAACAGCTCACCAGCAATGGACCCAAACCAAGAAGAAATCCCTGATTTACTTGAAAAAGAATTCAGGAGGTTAGTTATTAGGCTAATCAGGGAGGCACCAGAAAAAGGCAAAGCCCAATGTAAGGAAATCCAAAAAATGATACAAGAAGTGAAAGAAGAAATATTCAAGGAAATAGCATAAATAAAAACCAATCAAAACTTCAGGAATAAATAGACACACTCATAGAAATGCGAAATGCTATAGAAAGTCTCAGCAATAGAATTGAACAAGTAGAGGAAACAAATTCAGAGCTCGAAGACAAGGTCTTTGAATTAACCCAATCCGACAAAGACAAAGAAAAAAAGAATAAGAAAACATGAACAAAGCCTCCAAGAAGTCTGGGATTATGTTAAACAACCAAACCTAAGAATAATTGGTGTTCCTAAGGAGGAAGAGAAATCTAAAAGTTTAGAAAACATATTTGGGGGAATAATTGAGGAAAACTTCCCTGACCTTGCTACAGACCTAGACATCCAAACACAAGAAGCACAAAGAACACCTGGGAAATTCATCACAAAAAGATGATTGCCTAGGCTCATTGTCATCAGGTTATCTAAAGTTAAGATGAAGGAAAGACTCTTAAGAGCTGTGAGACAGAAGCACCAGGTAACCTGTAAGGGAAAATCTATCAGATTAATAGCAGGTTTCTCAGCAGAAACCCTAGAAACTAGAAGGGATTCCAGCCCTATCTTCAGCTTCCTCAAACAAAACAATTATCAGCCAAGAATTCTTTATCTAGTGAAACTAAGCTTCACATGTCAAGTAAAGATACAGTGTTTTTCAGAAAAACAAATGCTGAGACAATTTACCACTATCAAGCCACCACTACGAGAACTGCTAAAACGAGCTCAAAATCTTGAAACAAATCCTGGAAACACAACAGAACCTCTTTAAAGCATAAATTTCAGAGATCTATAAAACAAAAATTAAAAAAAAAATTAAAAAATTAACAATTAAAAAAAAAAAACAAGGTATACAAGCAACGAATAGCATGATGAATGGAATGGTACCTCACGTCTCAATACTAACATTGAATGTAAGTGGCCTAAATGCTCCACTTAGAAAATACAGAACTGCAAAACAGATAAGAATTCACCTGTTGTGGGAAGTCAGGGACCCTGAACAGAGGGACCAGCTGGAGCCACAGCAGAGGAGTATAAATTGTGAAGATTTCATGGACATTTATCACTTCCCTAATAATATTCTTATAATTTTTTATGCCTGTCTTACTTTAATCTCTTAATCCTGTTATCTTCGTAAATTGAGGATGTATATCACCTCAGGTCCACTGTGATGAATGCGTTAACTATACAAATTGATTGAAAAACGTGTGTTTGAACAATATGAAATCAGTGCACCTTGAAAAAAAAAAACAGAATAACAGCGATTTTCAGGGAACAAGGGAAGACAACCATAAGGTCTGACTGCCTGCGGGGTTGAGCAGAACAGAGCCATATTTTGCTTCTTGCAGAGAGCCTATAAACGGACGTGCAAGTAGTGAAGATATCGCTAAATTCTTTTCCTAGCAAGGAATATTAATAATTAAGACCCTGGGAAAGGAATTGCATTCCTGGGGGGAGGTCTATAAATGGCCTCTCTGGAAGTGTCTGTCTTATGCGGTTGAGATAAGGACTGAAATATGCCCTGGTCTCCTGCAGTACCCTCAGGCTTATGAGGGTTGGGAAAAGACCACTCCCCAGTAAATTTGAGGTCAGACCAGTGATCTGATCTTGAACCCTGTTTTCTGTTGTTTAAGATGTTTATCAAGACAATACATGCACAGCTGAACATAGACCCTTATTAGGAGTTTTTGATTTTGCCCTTTGCCTTGTGATCTTTGCTTTACCCTTTGCCTTGTGATCTTTATTGGCCTCAAAAGCATGTGATCTTTGTTCTCCTTTTTGCCCTTTGAAGCATGTCATCTTTGTGACCTACTCCCTGTTCATACACCCCCTCCCCTTTTGAAGTCCTTAATAAAAACCTGCTGGTTTTGCGGCTCAGGTGGGCATCACGGTCCTACCACCATGTGATGTCACCCCCTGGCGGCCCAGCTGTAAAATTCCTCTCTTTGTACTCTTTCTCTTTATTTCTCAGATTGGCCGACACTTAGGGAAAACAGAAAGAACCTACATTGAAATACTGGGGACAGGTTCCCCCAATATTCACCAACCATCTGCTGCCTTCAAGAGACTCACCTAACAAATAAGGACTCACACAAACTTAAGGTAAAGGGGTGGAAAAAGACATTTCATGCAAATGGACATTAAAAGCAAGCAGGAGTAGCTATTCTTGTATCAGACAAACCTTAAAGGAACAGCAGTTAAAAAAGACAAAGAGGGACATTATACAATGATAAAAGGCCTTGTGCAACAGTAAACTATCACAATCCGAAACATACATGCACCTAACACTGGAGTTCCCAAATTTATAAAACAATTACTAATAGGCCTAAGAAATGAGATAGATAGCAACACAATAATAGTGGGGGATTTCAATACTCAACTGACAGCACTAGACAGGTCATCAAGACAGAAAGTCAACAAAGAAACAATGGATTTAAACTATACTCCGGCCGGGCGTGGTAGCTCATGCCTATAATCCCAGCACTTTGGGAGGCCAAGGCAGCCAGATCACAAGGTCAGGAGATTGAGACCATCCTGGCTAACACGGTGAAACCCTGTCTCTACTAAAAAAAAAAAAAAAATACAAAAAATTAGCCAGGCAGGGTGGCAGGCACCTGTAGTCCCAGCTACTCTGGAGGCTGAAGCAGGAGAATGGCGTGAACCCAGGAGGCAGAGCTTGCAGTGAGCCGAGATCACACCACTGCACTCCAGCCTAGGCGACAGAGCAAGACTCCATCTCAAAAAAAAAAAAACTATACTCTGGAACAAATGGACTTAACAGATACTTACAGAACATTCCATTCAACAACTGCAGAATATACATTCTATTCAACAGAGCATGGAACTTTCTCCAAGAGACAGACCATATGATAGGCCACAAAAAAAGCCTCAATAAATTTAAGAAAGTTGAAATTATATCAAGCACTCTCTCAGATGACAATGGAATAAAACTGGAAATCTACTTCAAAGGAACCTTCAAAACCATGCAAATACCTGGAAATTAAATAACCTGCTCCTGAATGATCACTGGGTCAAAAATGAAATCAAGATGGAAATTAAAAAATTCTTCGAACTGAACAACTATAGTGACAAAACCTATCAAAACCTTTGGGACACAGCAAAGGTGGTGCTGAGAGGAAAGTTCATAGTTCTAAATGCCTACATCAAAAAGTCTGAAACAGCACAAACAGACAACCTAAGGTCACACCTCAAGGAACTAGAGAAACAAGAACAAACCAAACCCAAACCCAGCAGAAGAAAGGCAATGACCAATATCAGAGAAGAACTAAATGAAACTGAAACAAACAAAAACAATACAAAAGACAAATTAAACAAAAAGCTGTTTCTTTGAAAAGATAAATAAAATTGATAGACCACTGGCAAGATTAACCAAGAAGAGAAAAAATCCAAATAAGTTCAGTAAGAAACAAAACAGGAGATACTACAACTGACACCACAGAAATACAAAAGGTCATTCAAGGCAACTATGAACATCTTTATGTGCATATACTAGAAAACCTACAAGAGATGGAAGAATTCCTGGAAAAATACAACCCTCCTAGCTTAAATCAGGAAGAATTAGATAGTCTGAACAGACCAATAACAAGCAGCCAAACTGAAATGATAATTTAAAAATTACCAACAAAAAAAAGTCCAGGACCAGCTAAAAAAAAACACAAAACTTAGGAATATACCTAACCAAGGAAGTAAAAGACCTCTACAAGGAAAACTACAAAACACTGCATTAATGTTAGTTACAAAACACTGCTGAAAGAAGTCATAGACGACACAAACGAATGGAAACACATCCCAATGCTCATTGATGGGTGGAATCAATATTGGGAAAATGGCCATACTGCCAAAAGCAATTTACAAATTCAATGCAATTCCCATCAAAATACCACCATCATTCTTCACAGAACTAGAAAAAAAATTCAAAATCTCATATGGAACCAAAAAAGAGTCTGCATGGCCAAAGCAAGACTAAGCAAAAAGAACAAAACTGGAGGCATCATATTACCTGATTTCAAACTATACTATAAGGCCATACTCATCAGAACAGCATGGTACTGTATAAAAATAGGCACACAGACCAATGGAACAGAATAGAGAATCCAGAAGTAAACCCAAATACTTACAGCTAACTGATCTTCAACAAGGCAAACAAAAACATAAAGTGGGGAAAGGACACACTTTTCAACAAATGGTGCTGGGATAACTGGCTAACCATATGTGGGAGAATGAAACTGGATCTTCTTCTCTCACTTTACACAAAAATCAACTCAAGATGGATTAAGGACTTAAATCTAAGCCCTGAAACTATAAAAATTCTAGAAGATAACATTGGAAAGACTCTTCTACACATTGGCTTACACGAGGATTTCATGACCAAGAACCTAAAGGGGAATGTAATAAAAGTAAAGATAAATTGCTGACACTTAATTAAACAGCTTTGCACAGCAAAAGGAACAGTTAGAAGAGTAAACAGACAACCCACAAAGTGGGAAAAACTCTTCACAATCTATATACATCTGACAAAGGACTAATATCCAGAAGCTACAATGAACTCAAATCAACAAGAAAAAAACAAACAATCCCACCAAAAAGGGATTGATGGCTGAGACAATGAGTAGACAGTTCTCAAAAGAACATATACAAATGGCCAACAAACATAGAAAAAAATGCTCAACATCACTAATGATCAGGGAAATGCAAATCAAAACCACAATGCGATATCACCATTCTCACTTCAAGAAAGGCCATAATCAAAAAATAGTACATGTTGGCATTGATGCAGTGAACAGAGAATACTTCCACACCGCTGGTGGGAATATAAACTAGTACAACCACTATGGAAAACAGTGTGGAGATTCCTTAAAGAGCTAAAAGTAGGCAGAGCATGGTGGCTCCCGCCTGTCATCCCAGCACTTTAGGAGGCTGACGCGGGCAGATCACAAGGTCAGGAGTTCAAGATCAGCCTGGTTAACATGTTAAAATTTTGTAAAAATACAAAAATTAGCTAGATGCAGTGGTGCTACTCAGGAGGCTGAGGGAGGGGAATCGCTTGAACCCAGGAAGTGGAGGTTACAGTGAGCCTAGATCGTGCTGCTGCACTCCAGCCTGGGCAACAGAGTAAGACTCCATCTCAAAAAACAAAAAAGGCACTAAAAGTAGAACTACCATTTGATCCAGCAATCCCACTACTTGGTATCCACCCAGAGGAAAAGAAGTCATTATATGAAAAAGATACTTGCACACACGTTTATAGCAGCAAAACTCGCAATTACAAAACGTGGAACCAACCCAAATGCCCAGCAATCAATGAAAGGATAAAGAAACTGTGGTGGGTGGGGGTGTTTGTGTGTGTGTATGTATATACATACATATATGTGCGTGTGTATATATATGTATATACATACATGTGTGTATGTGTGTATATATATGATGGAATACTACTCAGCCATAAAAAGGAATGAATTAATGGCATTTGCAGCAACCTGGATGAGACTGGAGACTATTATTCTAAGTGAAGTAACTCAGAAACAGAAAACTAAACATCGTATGTTCTTCCTCATAACTGGGAGCTAAGCTATGAGAATGCAAAAGCATAAGAATGATACAATGGACTTTGAGGACTCAGGGGGAAAGGGTGGGAAGGGGGTGAGGGATAAAAGACTACAAATAGGGTACAGTGTATACTGCTCCAGTGATGGGTGCAGCAAAATCTCACAAATCACCACTAAACAACTTACTTATGTAACAAAACACCACCTTTTCCCCAATAACCTATGGAAATAAAAAATTTTTTTAAATAAAAATAAAATAGAATAAAATTTTTAAAAATTACTTGTTCAATGATATATTTTATTTAAGAAAAACAATTATGGGGGCATGGCTGGAATACTATGATTATGCAATAACAGACAATGGCCGTGGTGAATACAGGGGCAAAGGGGAGCAGTGTAATACAGTGGAGAAAAAACAATGAATTTAGATTTACAAGACAATGCTTGAGTTTCAACTGTGCCATTTTACTCCCTATGAGATGCAGAGCAGATGTCTTCCTTCATCTATCTTGAGTTTTCTCATCTGCTTAGGAAGGCAGCTGAGAGAAACAAATGAGAAACACACACAGATAAACAAAACAAAACAAAAAACCACAAAAGATTGTTGAAACATGAAGATAGGATTAAATGCCAGAAGGTTTTTTATTTTTAATTAATTAATTTTTTTTTTTTTGAGACGGAGTTTCGCTCTTGTTGCCCAGGCTGGAGTGCAATGGCATGATCCCAGCTCACCACAACCTCTGCCTCCCAGGTTCAAGCGAACAGATTACAGGCAGGTGCCACCACGCACGGCTAATTTGGCATTTTTAGTAGACGGGGTTTTACTACATTGGTTAAGCTGGTCTTGAACTCCTGACCTCAGGTGATCCACCCGCCTCAGCCTCCTAAAGTGCTGGGATTACAGGCATGAGCCACTGCACCTGGCCAATGCCAGAAGTTTAACCCAAACTAGGAATAAAGCAATAAAACAGATAGACAGCCTTGTAATTCCCAGGATGCCATCTCTTAATTTAGCAACAAAGGCAAAATCTATGGTATAAGGATCAGAAGTTCCTTTTGAAACTAAAAACATATATTAATAGGGTGGGTGCGGTGGCTCATGCCTGTAATCTCAGCACTTTGGGAAGCCAAGGAGGTCAGATCATTTGAGGCCTAGAGCTCAAGACCAGCTTGGCCAACAAGGAGAAAAGAAACCTCACCTCTACTAAAAAAAAAATTAACAAAAATCAGCCAGATGTGGTGGTGCATGCCTGTAGTCCCAGCTACTCAGGAGAATCACTTGAACCTGGTAGGCAGAGGTTGCAGTGAGCTGAGATCGCACCACTGCATGCCAGTCTGGGCAACAGAGCAAGAATCTGTCTCAGAAAAAAAAACAACATATATTAATAAATCAATATTAAATAAATGGGCAAGTAGGTCTAAGTATTTTGGAGTTCTACTTTTAAAGAAAGGACATAAAACTTGTTATGCCTCTGATAACAAAACCTATTTCATCTAAATATTTTCAACTATGATTTTCAGCTAGCATGATGAAAAAGGTATCACAGAAAAGAGGGCAACATTTAGTTTAAGAATTCCGAGATGGGCCAGGTGCAGTGGCTCACACCTGTAATCCCAGCACTTCGGGAGGCTGAGGTAGGCAGACCACTTGAGGCCAGGAGTTAGAGACCAGCCTGGCCAACATGACAAAACCCTATCTCTATCAAAAACACAAAAATTAGCCGGGAGTGTTGGCACACACATGTAGTCCCAGCTACTCGGAAGCCTGGGGCACAAGAATTGTTTGGGCCCGGGAGGCAGAGGTTCCAGTGAGCCAAGATCACGCCACCGCACTCCAGCCTGGGTGACAGAGCAAGACTATGTCTCCAAAAAAAAAAAAAAAAAAAAAGGAATTTCTAGATGAACTGAGACAATAGCAGAGAGTTTTAATATTCAAAGAATACAAATGTACAATCATTTTAATGTTAGGAAGCTAAAGAGTTTTAATATTCAAAGAATACAAATGTACAATCATTTTAACGTTAGAAAGCCAAAGAAGCTTCTAAAAATAAAAATTCATGTAATTCAATATTTCTGAAAATTGTAAATGCTAAAAGTTGCCCAAAGTATACATTTAGGCATTTTAAAACAGTCAAAAAAATTCTCTACAGCTAAAAGGACAACTTCAGTTACTTTTTCAATAATATATAAATGAAGTTATATAGCTGACATATAAATGGAGTTTTACTAAGGGGAAACAAATGACTTTATTCTACAAATAACCTAGCTTTCATTGATTCTTTAACAAACAGCTATTAAGCACAAAGTAAGTTGAATATCTGGAATAAAATGAACATAAATACCAGATGTGCTGGACATGGCGGCTCATGCCTATAATCCCAGCACTATGGGAGTCCAAGGTGGGCAGATCACTTGAGGTCAGGAGTTCAAGATCAGCCTGGCCAACATGGTGAAACCCTGTCTCTAGTAAAACACAGAAAAATTAGCTGGGCCTGGTGGTGCATGCCTGTAATCCCAGCTACTCAGGAGGCTGAGGCACAAGAATCGCTTGAACCTGGGAGGCCAAGGCTGCAGTGAGCCGAGATCGTGCCACTGCACTCCAGCCTGGGCAACAGAGCGAGACTCTGCCTTGAAAAAAAAACAAAAAACAAAAAACGAAAAAACCTCATGATTCCTGCCATCAAGGATTCTACAAGCTAGGGAGGGAAAAGGATACATAAACAAATAATAACAACATCTAAAACTGTTAGACTAGACTTATGCACTATACACAATAAGAATAAAGAACAATAGGGGCTGGGCACAGTGGTTCATGCCTGCAATCCCAACACTTTGGGAGGCCAAGGCAGGAGTATGGCTTGAGCCTAGGAGTTTGAGATCAGCCTGGGCAACACAGTGAGATGCTAGCTCTCAAAAAACTAATAATAAATAAGGAACAATACAGTTTTATTTATTTTTCATATTTATAAAACTCAAAAATATTAACAAGAAAAAAATACTTTCTCAAATAATGGACAAATAATAATTAAAAACTCTCTTACTTGGAAAATCCTTTCCATCTGGATAGTAATATTCTGTGAATTCTATATAGACAGCTGACATTTCTTGTGGAAGATATAGGGATTTTTTATTGCAGCAAATCATGCTTTTGGGGGAAGAACGACATTGTTCCGCTGTAGAGACCTGAAAAGATAAATAAGTTTACTGAAATCACACTGAATAAAAACCTTTCCAAATAATTTATGCAACCCAGACAGTACTTTTAAAACTACTTACAAAACTTTGCTAATGGTTAATTTCCAGTGTAAACTTTATTATATATTTAACTTCACATGGAATTATTTTTAAACACCCATCAACTATTCAGAAAACTCTATAATCTTTTTGGATCCTTATCAATCACAAAATCAACACTGTACAATATTCCTTACAAACTTATTATTGTGAGCCTTAAAAACAACAGAAAAATGATAACGATATTCTATCAGATAATATAGATAAGTAAATGGCAGTCAGGACATAGATCCAAGTCCTCAAATCCAGAATGCTTCCCCGTACGCTGTTTAAAATAATCTTTACCATAATCTCTCCATTACCATGAAAAGTAACAGAGCTATATACAGTTTCTGCTTGAGATAATAAAAATTCTGGAGACAAATAATGGTACTGGTTACACAACAACGTGAATGTGCTTAACGACAATTATTATATAATATATAGATACAGACACAGATTTTTTTTTTTTTTTTGGTAGAGACGGGGTTTCGCCATGTTGGCCAGGCTGGTCTCAAACTCCTGACCTCAAGCAATCCACCCACCTCAGCCTCCCAAAGTGCTGGGATTACAGGCGTGAGCCACTGCACCTAGCCGATATTATTAGGTTGGTGCAAAAGTAATTGCAGTTTTGCCATTACTTTCAATGGCAAAAACCTAAATATGTATATGTGTGTGTATATATATATAATTATTATTGTAAATTCAGTCATACCTTACCACAATAAAAAATTAATTTAAAAATAATAGCTATAAACACTTCCGTCAAATAGTTTGATCGCTCGAATTCATTTTCCAAAAAGACTATGTTTCATACACAAATCAATAAATATGATTCACCACAAACAGAACTAAAAACAAAAACCATATGATTATCTCAATAGGCAAAGAAAATGCTTTTGATAAAATCCAACGTCCCTTCACAATAAAAACCCTCAACAAACTATGAATCAAAGAAACATACCTCAAAACAGTAAGAGTAATCTATGACAAACTCACAGCTAATATCGTTCTGAAGCGGCAAAAGCTGAAATCATTTCCCTTAAGGAATGGAACAAGACAAGGATGCCCCCTCTCACAACTCCTACTCAAAATAGTACTGGAAGTTCTAGCTAGAGCAATCAGGCAAGAGAAAGAAAGAAAGGGCATCCAAATAGGAAAAGAAGTCAAATTATTTCTCTTCGCTGACAATATGATTCTATACCTAGAAAATGCTAAACTCCACGAAAAGACTCCCATGACTGATAAGCAACTTCAATAAAGTTTCAGGATACAAAATCAATGTAAACAATCAGCAGTATTTTTATATACCAGTAACATTCAAGCTGAAAGCCAAACAACAACAACAACAACAGCAACAACAAATCCTAGGAATACATCTAACCAAAAGATAAAAGATCTCTACAAGAACTGGGCCAGGCATGATGGCTCACACCTGTAATCCCAGCACGGTGAGAGGCTGAGGCGGGCAGATCATTTGAGGCCAGGAGCTCGAGACCAGCGTGGCCAACATGGCGAAACCCCATCTCTACCAAAAATACAAAAATCAGCTGGGCGTGGTGGCACACGCCTGTAATCCCAGTTACTTGGGAGGCTGAGGCATAAAAATCGCTTGAACTCGGGAGACGGAGGTTGTAGTGAGCTAACACCACTGTATTCCAGCCTGGGCAACAGAACAAGACTCTGTTTCAAAAAAAAAAAAAAAAAGTCCACACTGCTGAAAACAATATACAGACTCAATGTCATTCCTATCAAACTACAAACATCATTTTGCACAAAATTAGAAAAAAATTTTAAAATATTTAAAAATTCATATGAAACCCAAAAGCCTGAATAGCCAAAGCAACTCTAAGAAAAAAGAACAAAGCTGGAGACATTACATAACTATACTATAAGGAACCAAAATGGCATGGTACTGATACAAAAACAGAGACATAGATCAATGGAACAGAATAGAGAACCCAGAAATAAAATCGCACACCTATAACTATCTGATCTTTGACAAATTCAACAATCACAAGCAATGGGGAAAGGACACCCTATTCAATGAATGGTGCCTGGATGACTGGCTAGTCATATTTAGAAGAATGAAACTGGACCCCTACACCTTCCTTTTTTTTTTTTTTGAGACGGAGTCTAGCTCTGTCACCCAGGCTGGAGTGCAATGGCATGATCTCAGCTCACTGCAACCTCTGCCTCCCGGGTTCAAGCAATTCTCCTGCCTCAGCCTCCTGAGTAGCTGGGATTACAGGCGCGCACCACCACGCCCAGCTAAGTTTTGTATTTTTAGTAGAGATGGGGTTTCACTATGTTGGCCAGGCTGGTCTCGAACTCCTGACCTCGTGATCCGCCCACCTCGGCCTCTCAAAATGCTGGGATTACAAGTGTGAGCCACCACGCCCGGCTACACCTTCTACTATATACAAAAATTAACTCAAGATGGAACAAATATTTAAATATAAGAAGTCAAACTATAAAAGTCCTAGAAGAAAAGCTAGGAAATACCATTCTGGACATAGGCTTTAGCAAAGAATTTATGGCTAAGACCTCAACGGCAATCACAACAAAAACAAAAATAGACAAGTGAGACCTCATTGGAGAGCTTCTATACAGCAAAATAAACTATCAACAGAGTCAACAGACATCCTACACAATGGGAGAAAATACTCACAAATTATTCATCTGACAAAGGTCTAATATCCAGAATCTATAAGGAACTTGAACAAAAGTCAACAAGCAAAAACCAAACACCATTAAAAAGTGGGCAAAGGACATGAACACACACTTCTCAAAAGAAGACATATGTGCAGCCAACAAGCATATGAAACAATGCTCAATACACTAATCATCATTAATCATCAGAGAAATGTAAATCGAAACCACAGTGAGATACCATCTCAGATACATTAGTTAGAATGGCTATTATTAAAAAGTCAAAATACAGATGCTGGTGAGGCTGCAGTACTGCATGTTCTGACTTACAAGTGGGAGCTAAATGTTGGGTACGCATGGAGACAAAAAAGGGAACAACAGACACTGGAGACCCCAAAAGGAGGATGGGAGGAAGGGGAATAAGGGCTGAAAACCTACCTGTTGGGTACTATGCTGACCACCTGGATGGTGGGATAATCACACCCTGAACCTCAGCATCATGCAATATAAAAATGTAACAAACCTGCACATGTACCCTGAGTTTACAATAAAAGTTGAAATTAAAAAAAAAAAAACTATTAGTTTTAAGGTTCTGGTTACATTTTTTTCACCCCCCAAAACCAGCTAATGTCATCAAAAATGTATATATTAATATTCACAAAGTTCAACCAATAAAGTTTTATCAGTTTCATTTATTTGTTTTAGTTTAGTATACCCAGAGATGTTTTTTTTTCCATTCATCATTCAATAGACGTGTATATGTCTCATATGAAGTAGAATAATTTTTCAATGGTTTACTTACGTTTCCTCTTATATAAACTGCCTCAGCAATCTTTTTTTTTTTTTTTTTTTTTTGAGATAAGAGTCTCACTCTGTCATCCAGGCTGGAGTGCAGTGGCACAATCTCGGCCCACAACAACCTCTGCCTCCTGGACTGAAGCGATTCTCGTGCCTCAGCCTCCCAAGTAGCTGGGACTATAGGCATGCACCATCACTCCCAGCTAATTTTTGTATTTTTACTAGGGAGGGGGTTTTGCTATGTTGGCCAGGCTGGTCTCTAACTCCTGACCTCAAGTGATCCACCCACTTTGGCTTCCCAAATGGCTGGGATTACAGGCGTGAGCCAACGTGCCCAGCCAAATTGCTTAATCAATCATTTTAATTTGTATAGTCTTTATAAATTCAAGTCAGTTCCTTACAGTATCTAATTAAAAAGCTTTTCTCTGCATATATGGAAACAAATTCTTTTCAATTCAAAATGTCAACTTATTTTAACAAATAACGGCTTATTCTTTTTTCCTCTAATAGTTAAAAACCTATTCGAATTGGGACAAACATACTATCTTATGTTCTTCTACTTACTTTTGTTTATTTTGTTTTGTGTTTGGTGTGGTTGCGTATATATATGTGGGGTTTCTTACTGTATTTCACTCACAACCATGTGGGATTATAAGTGATTCCTCTTTCTCATTTCCACATAAATTTATTTAAATCCTAAAATTTAAAGTCTTTTAAAAAGCTGGAGCATATGGTCATGCACCATATAATGACATTTCTGCCAATGACAGGCCACTTATAAGATGTGGATCCCATAAGATTATAACACAGCTTTTATACTGTATTTACTGTATTTTTACTGTATATTTTCTATGTTTGGTAAGGTTTAAATACACAAATACCATTGTGTTATAACTGCTACGGTATTCAATACAGTAACATGATATACAAGATTAAAGCCTAGGAGGAATAGGATATACCATACATATAGCCTAGGAGTTTAAGTAGGCTACATACCATCTAAGTACAGTTAATGATGTTAAGCAACACATGACTGTATATCGAATGTAAAGTAAGTAGTAACTGCATAATGAGAAAATAACTGTTAAATCAGTTTCTAAACATTGGCACTTCTGACGTTTTAAGCTAGATAATTCTTCATTGTGGGGAACTGACCAGCACATTGTAGGATTTAACAGGCGGCATCACTGGTCTTTACTCACTAGAGGTCAGCAGCATCCCTGTCCAGTTGTGACAACCAAAACTATCTTCAGATATTGCCAAATGTCCCCTGGGGGGCAAAATTGGTCCCAGAGGGGAATCACTGAGTTAAATAAAAACTTTTCACATAAAACTAAGTCTCAAAGCCACAGACTTATCAAAATAAACCAGAACAATTTATAAATGATAAATCTAGAAATCTTTTATTTTTTAAGAATAGATCATATATTATCGTGTTGGTCTCAAACATTGCAATTAGACCACGTTAGGTGATTATAAACTGAGTAAGATTGTTAGTATAAATAGGACAGAGTTCTTAGCTATAGAATTATATTCACAGTATAGCCAATACAGTATATATAGTATACTGTAGTTCCGTAAAGCAAAAAAGGCATTTTAGATCCTTCCACAGAGACTACTGTGTAATAAGGAAATTGGTCTCCCTCTGACCCTGCTCCTGGGAAGCAACTAGGAATTGGAATTTCCTATTTATGGTTGGCCCCTGATATAGTTTGGATATTGTCCCCTCTAAATCTCATGTTCAATTGTAATCCCCAGTATTGGAGGTGGAGCCTGATGGGAGGTGTTTGAGTCATGGGGGCAGATACCTCATGGCTTGGTGATGTGCTCACAACAGTGAGTTCTCATAAAGTCTGGTTGATTAAAAGTATGTGGCACCTCCCTGCGCCACTCTCTGTCTTGCTCCTGCTTTTGCCATGTGACGTGCCTGCTCCTGCTTTACCTTCCACCACGTGTAAAAGTTCCCTGAGGCCTCCTCCCCAGAAGCTGAGCAGATGCCCACATCATGCTTCCAATATAGCCTGCAGAACCAAAAGCCAATTAAACTTCTTTTCTTTATAAATTATCCAGTCTCAGGTACTTCTTTACAACAACACAAGAACAGCCTAACACAGCCCCTGACACCACAGCTGATAGTTTATGATAGCAAAACGACGCAGGGTGGAGCTGGCCACACTTGATAGCCTAGTTGCGTTAAGAGGGTGGGGGCTTTGGGTAATCTGATTACCAATTCACCTAGAGATTGAGTAAAACCTCATGACCAATACTTCATGCATATTGTTAAATATCCATCCATCCATATATTTACACATCTATATAGGGTTCCACATCCTTAGAAAGCTAATAAGTCCTGAGGAAAAGTTTCACATTTCAAGTGCTCCAAGACGCTGTTTTATTATTATTACATCAGTGTACTGTGGGGGTGATATGGTTTGGCTGTGTCCCCACCAAAATCTCATCTTGAATTGTAACTCTGACAGTTCCCACGTGTTGTGTGAGGAACCTGGTGGGAGGTGATTGAATTATGGGGGCAAGTCTTTCCTGCACTGTTCTTGTGGTAGTGAATGAGTCTCACAAGATCTGATGGTTTTAAAAATAGGAGTTTCCCTGCACAAGCTCTCTCTTTGCCTGCCACCATCCATGTAAGACATGACTTGCTCCTCCTTGCTTTCTGCTGCCATGGTTGTGACTTCCCCAGTCATGTGGAACTGTACGTCTATTAAACTTTTTTCCTGTATAAATTGCCCAGTCTTGGGTATGTCTTTATCAGCAGTGTGAAAACCGACTAATACAGTAAATTGGTACTAGTAGAGTGGGGCACTGCTGAAAAGATACCTGAATGTGGAAGTGACTTTGGAACTGGGTAACAGGCAGAGGTTGGAACAGTTTGGAGGGGTCAGAAGATGACAGGAAAATTTGGGAAAGTTTGGAATTTCCTGAGACTTGTTGAATGGCTTTGACAAAAATGCTGAAAGTGATATGAACAGTAAGGTCCGGGCTGAGGTGGTCTCAGATGGAGATGAGGAACTTGTTGGGAACTGGAAGAAAGGTGACTCTTGTTATGTTTTAGCAGACGGGCAGCATTTTGCCCCTGCCCTAGAGATCTGTGGAACTCTGAACTTGAGAGATGATTTAGGTTATCTTGTGGAAGAAATTTCTAAGCAGCAATGCATTCAAGGGTGACTTGGGTGTTCTTAAAGGCATTTCATTTTATAAGGCAAGGAGAGTATAAAAGTTCAAAAAATTTGCAGCCTGACAATGCGATAGAAAAGAAAACCCCATTTTCTGAGGAAGAATTCAAGCCAGCTACAGAAATTTGCGTAAGTAAAGAGAAGCCTAATGTTAATCCCCAAGACAATGGGGGAAAATATCTCCCAGGGAATGTCAGAGGTCTTCACGGCAGCCCCTCCCATTATAGGCCCAGAGGCCTAGAAGGAAAAAGTGGTTTCATGGGCCAGGCCCAGGCTCCCTGTGCTATGTGCAGCCTAGGGATTTGGTACCCTGCATCCCAGCTGCTCCAGCCATGGATGAAAGGGGCCAACACAGAGCTTGGGCCATAGCTTCAGAAGGTGCAAGCCCCAACCCTGGCAGCTTCCACATGGTGCTGAGCCTGCTGGTGCACAGAAGTCAAGAACTGGGGATTGGGAGCCTCCGCCTAGATTTCAGTGGATGTATGGAAATGCCTGGATGCCCAGGCAGAATTTTGCAGCAGGGGTGGGGCCCTCATGGAGAACCTCTGCTAGGGCAGTGTGGAAGGGAAATGTGGGGTCAAAGCCCCCACACAAAGTCCCTACTGGGGTACCACCTAGTGGAGCTGTGAGAAGAAGGCCACCGTCCTCCTGACTCCAGAAGGGTAGATCCACTGACACCTTGCACCATGTGCCTGGAAAAGGTGCCAGCAGACACTCAATACCAGTCCATGAAAGCAGCCAAGAGGAAGGCTGTATCCTGCAAAGCCACAGGGGCAGAGCTGCCCAAGACCATGGAACCCATCTCTTTTTTTTTTTTTTTTGTTTTGAGACAGAGTCTTGCTCTGTTGCCCAGGCTGGAGCACAGTGGCGCGATCTCAGCTCACTGTAAGCTCCGCCTCCTGGAAACCCACCTCTTAACATCAGCGTGACATGTATGTGAAACATGGAGTCAAAGGAAATCATTTTGGAACTTTTAAGATTTGACTGTCCTGCTGGATTTCGGATTTGCATGGGGCCTGTAGCCCCTTTGTTTTGGCCAACTTCTCCCATTTGGAATAGCTGTATTTACCCAATGCCTTGTACCCCCACTGTATCTAGGAAATAACTGAATTGCTTTTGATTTTATAGGCTCATAGGCAGAAGGGACTTGTCTTGTCTCAGACAGGACATTGGACTGTGGACTTCTGAGTTAATGGTGAAATGAGTTAAAACTTTGGGGGACAGTTAGGAATGCATGATTGGTTTAGAAATCTGAGGACATAAGATTTGGGAGGGGCCAGGGCAGAATGATATGGTTTGGCTGTGTCCCCACCCAAATTTCACCTTGAATTGTAGCTCTCACAATTCCCACATGTTGTAGGAGGAAGCTGGTGGAAGGTGACTGAATTATGATTGAAGGTGATTGAATTATGGGGGTGGGTCTTTCCTGTGCTGTTCTTGTGGTAGTGAATGAGTCTCATGAGATCTGATGGTTTTAAAAATGGGAGTTTCCCTGCACAAGCTCTCTCTTTGCCTGCTGCCATCCACATAAGATGTGATTTGCTCCTCCTTGCCTTCCGCCATGATTGTGAGGCTTCCCCAGCCATGTGGAACTGTATGTCTAGTAAACCTCTTTCTTTTGTAAATTGCCCAGTCTCGGGTATGTCTTTATCAGAAGCATGAAAATGGACTAATACAGAGGAGGAAAAAAAGACTCTGCCTTATGCATCTCTTCCTATGGCTGGTTGTAATTTGTATAATGTGACTACAATGGATGTGACTTTAATATATTTCAGTGGTTCTGTGAGTCTTTCTAGTGAATTTTGAACCAGAGGGTAGTTTTTGGAAACTCCCAAAGTTGTAGTTGGTGTCTGAAGTCTTTATTTTTGTTCTTCCAACTTTTGCTTTAGTTCAGGGGGTACATGTGCAGGTTTGTTATACTGGTAAACTGCGTGTCACTGGGGTTTGGTGTATAAATAATTTCACAACCCAAGTAGCGGGCATAGTACCCGTTAAGTAGTTTTTCAATCCTCACCCTTCCCCAACCCTCCACCCTCAAGTAAGACCCCATGTCTTCTGTTTCCCTCTTTGTGTCCATGTGCACTCAATGTGTAGCTCCCACTTATAAGTGAGAATATGCAATATTTGGTTTTCTTTTCCTGCATTAATTCACTTGGGATAATGGCCTCCAGCTGCATCCATGTTGCTACAAAGAACATGACTGCATTCTTTTCATGGCTACATAGTACTCTGCGGTGTATATGTACCACAGTTTCTTTATCCACTGCACTGATGGGCATCTAGGTTGATTCCATGACTTTGTTATTGTGAATAGTGCTGCCATGAACATACAAGTGCACGTTATCTTTGGTAGAAAAATTTATATTCCTATGGGTATATACCCAGTAATGGGATTGCTGGGTCAATTGGTAGTTCTTTTTTAAATTCTTTGAGAAAACTCCAAACTGCTTTCCACAGTGGTTGAACTATTTTACATTCCCACCAACAGTGTATAAGCATTCCCTTTTCTCCACAACCTCACCAACATCTATTTTTTTGTGTTTTAATAACAGCCATTCTGAGTGGGGTGAGATGGTATTTCACTGTGGTTTTGATTTGTATTTCTCAGTTGATTAGTGATGTTGAGCACTGTTTCATATGCTTGTTGGCTGCACATATGTCTTCTTTTGAGAAGTGTGTGTTCATGTCCTTTGCCCACTTTTTAATGGTGTTTGGTTTTTGCTTGTCGATTCAATTTCCTTATAGGTTCTGGATATTAAGACCTTTGTCAGATAAATAATTTGTGAATATTTTCTCCCATTCTGTAGGATGTCTGTTGACAGTTTATTTTGCTGTATAGAAGCTCTTTAATGAGGTTTCACTTGCCTATTTTTGTTTTTGTTGCAATTACTTTTGGAGTCTTCCTCATGAGATCTTGGCCGAGGCCAATCTCTAGAATTCTATTTCCTTGGTTGTCTTCCAGGGTTTCTATAGTGTCAGCCTTTACATTTAAGTCTTTCATTTCATCTTGAGTTAATTTTTGTGTGTGGTGAAACAACAGGGTCTAATTTCAATCTTCTGCATATGACCAACCAGTTATCCCAGCAACATTATTAAATAGGAAAGCATTTCCCCACTGCTTGTTATTGTCGACTTTGTCGAAGATCACATGGTTGTAGGTGTGCAGCTTTATTTCTAGGTTCCCTAATCTGTTCCATTGGTCTATGCATCTGTTTTTGTAATGAGAACATGCTGTTTTGTGTCAGAAGCATTTAGGCAAACTTAAGGACTGTGCCTATAAAGTTAGTTTGGTTAACTGAGTAACCATATAATCAAAAATTAATAAACTGATATTTTCTATGCCATCTAATATGGCCATTTCATAAACCTTGTAAAGATTTTTTAAATAAAATGGTAGCATTTGTTATTTAAGTTGCTTAGATGAGATACTAAAGTGTTTATGAGAAAACTTAATTGGAAAAGAAAACATACCTGGTATATATTGAAATCTGCAAGTCTAACCACAACAGAACTAGACATTAGCTTAGCTTTTGATTGTTGAGATAATACTGAAGGTGTTCTGCATGTCCCTTTCAGAGGGTAGTCCTTCTCTGTTGGAAACAAAAACTCCTTTCAATTCATTGCAAAATTATTTTTAACAGTCACTCTTTTATTATTAAGGCAGGTACCAGAAATATATGTGAATACTAACTTCTCAAACAAGATAATATTTGTGGACATACTTTATAAATTATAAAGTAATACAGGATGTAAGTTATTGTGATGATTATTCTTTTAAGAAGAATCACACATGTCACATTTAAGTTAGTCTTCTACAAAAACTCTGGAATGGGACTCTTGTTAAAAATGACATATTTACATAGAAGTAGAAAGTGAAGGGTATGGGGGAGGGAAGGGGAGGGGCAGACAATGGGTGATTAGTGAATACAAAGGTATAGCTAGATAGGAGAAGTAAATTCTAGCATTTATAGGGTGACTATAATTAATAATTTATTTTTTCAAATAGCTAGTAAGAGCAGATTTTGAATGCTCCCAACTTAACTAATAAATGTCTGAGGTGACGAATATGCTAATTACTCTGCTTTTAGTGTTATACGTTTGTATACATGTATCAAAATATCACATTTCAATGCTTACTGGGCCAGCAAAAAAAAAAAAAGTAGTAGTATCACACTGTACCTCATAAATACGTACAATTATTATGTGTTGACTTAAAAAAAAAAGAAACCTTCTAGAAAAATTCTTCCTGGGTGTGACTATTATTGGTTGTATTAATTTTAAAAGTGCTTTGGTCCACAAGCCTATGTTGGTCTGAGCAAAGGATACAGGGGTTTTAGACATTAATTAAAAATACTTGGCTTAGGCCGGGCGTGGTGGCTCACGCCTGTAATCCCAGCACTTTGGGAGGCTGAGGTGGGCAGATCACTTGAGGTCCAGAGTTTGAGACCACCCTGGCCAACACAGTGAAACCCTGGTTCTACTAAAACTCCAAAAATTAGCTGGGTATGGTGGCATGTGCCTGTAATCCCAGATACTCAGGAGGCTGAGGCAGGAGAATCGCTTGAACCCGGGAAGCAGAGGTTGCAGTGAGCCGAGATCACACCACTGCACTTCAGCCTGGGAGACAGAGTGAGACCCTGTCTCAAAGAAAAAAAAAAAATACTTGGCTGGGCATGGTAGCTGACACTTGTAATCCCAGCACTTTGCGGAGGGCCAAGGTGGGAGGACCGCTTGAGGCCAGGAGTTTGAGACTACCCTAGGCAACATAGCAAGACCCCCATCTCTACATTAAAAAGAAGAAAAAAAAATACTCATTTACAGGAAATACTATGATCACACACACACACACACACACACACACACACACACACACACACACACAGAGTGCAAACACTCTTAATATTAGGGGAATGCTATTATAGGTAAAATACCTGTTTGTGTGTGCTGGGGAGAGGCATGTGTTGGGGATTTAGGAGGTGAACCTACATTATGATCCTTCACAGCCTGTTTAAGCATTTCAACGTTGCACTCAAATTCATGCAATAACTCATTGGCCCATCCATTTTTTGTTTTGGTTGCATCACTAAAATACATCCAATGATTACAACTATCTCCTGTAAAATGAACAACAGGTATTTCATTGAAAAATGTACAACTTTCATTTATTATATTATAGTAATGCTTCCAATGAGATTTAGTCGTTTATTCAAGAAAGACTTTGATATCTGAAAAATTTACAGGCTTCACCTACATGTAATTTCGAAATATGAGTAAAACATTTGAAACAGAGGGAAAGAATGTCAAAAGCAAATCATCTGGAGGAGTTTCTATCTAGTACCCATTCTTAGTAGAAAATCACTAAGATTCAATTTAAAGCCATATGACTCGTCACCCTTCACTGGATGCTCAATTACCTGGTAAACCTGCATTAAACTGAATCCCAGAAAATATTATCAAATAAATAGAATCCTTTCTTCAAAGATGTGTTATCAAGTTAACTAACAAAAACCTAAACCACAAAAATGATAAGATGATGATGATTAAAACATTTAAGAAACCAATAAAACTTCTCAAGATGTACTCAGCCATAGTTAGTTTTTGGAAGAAAAATATATAATCAGAATCATTAGGCTTCTCTGTAGCAACTAAGAAAAATGCACATAAAAGGGTTAAGACAATAAAATCAGGCCAGGCGCAGTGGCTCACATCTGTAATCAATCCCAGCACTTTGGGAGGCTGAGGCAGAAGGTCGAGGCTGTAGTGAGCAGTGATCACACCACTGCACTCGTGAGGCCTTGGATCAAAAAAAAAAAAGAAAATTTACTCTATGAATGTTTCACACCTCTTCAAAAATAAATATCTAGTTAAAAATTTTATGCATTTGTAAGTTAATTTATGAGTCAGGACGATAGTATATAAGACAAAATCCTTCAAAAGAGAATTATTATATTGAATGTTGGCAATGAAAATTTAAAATGAAAAAAAAATCATACAACTTTTAAATTTAATCAGGTACCAACATAGAAATGACAAACATTGGTTAAAAAACGTGTAAACAAAAATGTGTGAACAGAAAAACTTTACCATTTTTTAAATGTCCTGGAAAACTCTATGATCTCTAGTTTGGTTTTTCTCACTTGTGTGAATGCTAAATACTAACAGAAGGCAAAAACGGTATAAAGTCAAATTAATTTGGTCACAATAATCATACTTTTTTTTTCTTTTCATTATTTGGGAGAAAGAATCTACCAATACCAGATTGTTAAGAGCCTATGAAATCTGGAATCCTATAATTTAGCTAAACATACTCTTATTCTTAGCTTCATACTCTTTTCATTCCTAGCTTCATACTCTTTTCTAATTTTTAAATATATAAATCATTTAAAAATTTAAAACATTAATAACTTGTTTTGGTCACAACTAACAAAACAGCACAAACACATGTCCTCTGTACCCTGATTTTTTTTTAAGTTTTAAATTGGTTATTTGGAAAACTGTCAATTTCTAAAAATTATGATTTCTAAAAATCTATATAAATGTCAATATACACTGTATGACTATATTCCATGGCAATTCTACTTTCTTAATGAAATACTGCCAGGAGAAAAATACCAATCTCTTCATCTCATTTCTTGTTAACAAATAAAAGCAAGATAAAACTAAACTAAATAAATTAGCTATATAATTTGAAAACAACATTTATATCTTTTAAAGATGCTGTTATACACACCTGCTTTATGATAAGGATAATAATCTATAGTTAGCTGTGTAAAAGAGAGTTGCATTGCCCCTCCAGTAATACGTCTGTTTGACTCTGGGAAAAAAAAAGGGGGGGGGGGAAATATTAAGTCAATTATCAGAAAGATTTAATTTACCACAGAAAAATTTTAGCATACTTGGAGTCCAAATAGTAATAACTGTCTCTCTTTTATGACGGCACATTAAGGATTTTAGGAAATATAATTCAATCCAATGAGTATTTACTGAGCCCCCCTCATTTGTAAGGCACCAGGATAAAAGGTAAGAATATAAGAATAGCAGAATCCCTGCCCTGGTAGAGTTCACAGATGATACTAGCACAACTTTTATATTGACAAGGCCTCCCCATATGTCAGGCATTATTTTAAATACTTTAGGTAAACTTACTCATTTGGTTTTCATAACAACCGCATTTGATAGGTACAATCATTATTATCCCCATCTTCAAGATAAGGAAACTGAGGCACAAAGAGGCCAAGGACATACAGCTAGTTAAGTGCAAAGCTTGGATTTGAACCCAGGAAATCTTGAACACTACACCATATCATCCTACCTCTTACTGAAAAGGAAATTAAGGCTGGGCGCGGTGGCTCACGCCTGTCATCCCAGCACTTTGGGAGGCCGAGGCGGGTGGATCACGAGGTCAGGAGTTCGAGACCAGCCTGGCCAACATAGTGAAACTCCGTCTCTACTAAAAATACAAAGATTAGCTGGGCATGGTGGCACGCCCCTGTAGTCCCAGCTACTTGGGAGGCTGAGGCAGGAGAATCGCTTGAACCTGGGAGGCAGAGGCTGCAGTGAGCCGAGTTTGAGCCACTGCACTCCAGCCTGGGCAACAGAGTGAGACTCCATCTCAAAAAAAAAAAAAAAAAAAAAAGGGAAATTATTAAAAGTCTGTTAGGTTAGGTAAGTTGTCCAAAGTCACACAGCTATAGTAAAATCAAAAGTAGATTACAAATTGGTATAACGTGAACATAAAAATCAAATTTTAAAACAAAATGGGCAAATCAATCAGAAGAAAGAAAAATACTAACTGAGACATAGCTATGTATACACTCCCTATATTAATTTGTAAAATCCAATTTATCTCAACTAGTAGAATTTTCAGCACAGGTCTACAATCCCTTACGTAAAACCTTTGGAAAGCCAAATGTTTCAGAATTCAGAAATGTTTAGATTTCACGACAGTAATATGATACGGTATATACAGGATATACCATGCAACACTCTCAGCAGGTTCTGAGGCAGCACTAATAAAAATAGCAATTCTGCAGCAAAACATAAATATTTATAGGAAGCAGGCAAAGAATAAAAAAAAGTATTGGCATAAGTCAGGTTTTGCCACCAAATGAGTTTTTCACAAACTTATAATATTTCAGAGCCTTTTGGATTTCACAATAGTGATTACAGACCTGTACTATTAAGGAGATATTTTGGTGAAAAGGTTTTCTTCCTAAATAAAATCATTCAATTTATTCTATCAGGGAATAGTGAGGAATGTAAGGCCTTAGAAAACACTTTCTCCATTCTCATTCTTACTACTTAATCTTGACCACCTCATTTTCTTAGTTTGGTTTGTTCTAACTTTTTTGGATTTTCCTTTCAAATCTCTAAAGTAAAAGATGCCAACTATAAGTCAAATGACACAATGGTAGTCAGAACAAAAGATAACAAATCCCTCCACAAACCCCGAATCTTCCTCACCTTTGCCCCTCCAACCTTTTAGGCTGGAATCTTTTAGGCTGCCTTGTCTAATGAAGGCAGGGTAACTTCTACTGCTAAGTATCCAGGGTCTCAATATTCACTTTCTCAGCTTAAAAACACATGGCAAAAATTTTTGTAGATATAGATCCTGATTCAGATCTGAGGCACAGAGATCAGATAACTCTATTGTTTAAAGGTCTTCAGCCTGATTCTAATGCTCACCAAAGTTTGAGAATTATAGTCCTTAAGGTAGGCCTACCTGCTGAACTCAACCCCAACACTTCTGGGCCAGGGATGCTCTCCAGCAGAGAAACAAAAACGCCCAGCGCCTAGATTACAGAACTACATCTACTAAATAAGGAAAAATAACAGGGACAAAAACTAAAAGAAAATTCCTAACTGGAATTTTGCTTCCTAATCAAATTTTGGAAGGATGGGAAGAGAGGTGGCCATAAAATATGTTAAATAGTTGCACAGTTGTGCTTCTATTCAAAATAGGTAGAAAAACTGCAATGCTGAAAACACATCTACAAATAATTATGAATTAAGTATGGACTAAAATTTAATTTGGAGACAATTTCAACATTATCAAAAAGTTAATTCAAAGGCGAGTCTAATATTTCATCATCCTCCTAGAGGATCATCTATTCAGTCTGATTTTTTTAAAGCTAATTTTATTGTTAGCATTGATAGCTAACAAATAATTAAGCTTAAGTACTGCTAAAGCAAAATAAAATTTCATACCAATATATGCTTCCAGTTGTGCCTTTCATCTATATATTCATATGAACACAATTATGACAAATTATCTTACAGGACATCCTACACAACAGATTTAATAAACAATCCAGTTTTGTAGTCAATTCTAGAAAAACCAAAATAGTTTGAAATAAGCAAGTTATTTTACCTTTTTCTTTAGCATGAATGTCATCACATATGTGTAGATCTAGATGAGAAATCACTAAATGATGGGAGGTTTCCTTAACATCAAAATCATTGAATAGTTTCACAATTGCATCATTTACATCAGGAGCATTTGAAGTTTGCGTTGTCTTCACTTGCTGGGCAGATGCGACTACTGTAGAGCTCTAAAAAGATTCGAAACTGCCTTATCACTGCCAATTTAAATACTGGAAATTTCACACAAAAATCTAAGTATTTTCAGTCGAAAGTCATGAAAAATAACCATAGTACATCTTATTTTTCATCAATAATATATTTTCCCTAAAATATTTTCTGAATTACCTAAGAATAAAACTAAAATTTAAAAACGGTAAAACTAGGCTCATGCCTGTAATCACAACACTTTGGGAGGCCGAGGCAGGCGAATCATCTGAGGTCAGGAGTTCAAGACCAGCCTCGCTAACATGCTGAAACCCCATTTCTACTAAAAATATAAAAAATTAGCTGGGCGTGGTGCCGCATGCCTGTAATCCCAGCTACTTGGGAGGCTGAGGCAGGAGAATCACTTGAACCCGGGAGACAGAGGCTGCAGTGAGCTGAGACCGTGCCACTGCACTCCAGCCTGGGTAACAGAGCGAGACTCCATCTCAAAAAAACAAAAACAAAAACAAAAAAACAAACAAAAAAACTGTAAAACTATACACAAATCAAATATGAACCCAATATATCTCAGTAAATATCTGAAGTTATATTTAACATATTTATAGCCCTTGTTTTAGAAAATGTAGTTAACTCTTAAAGGCAGTTTATTTGAATATTATATATATTAAAAACAAAACAAATGTGGGCCCTGTATACACTGTTATATATCTGATATGGTTTGGCCCTGTGTCCCCACCCAAATCTCATCTTGAATGGTAGTCCCACAATTCCCACGTGTTGTGGGAGAGACCTGGTGGGAGATAATTCAATCATGGGGGTGGCTTCCCCCATACTGTTCTGGTGGTAGTAAATAAGTCTCACGAGATCTGATGGTTTATCAGGGGTTTCTGCTTTTGCAGCTTCCTCATTGTTTCTTTGACTGCTGCCATCCATGTAAAATGGGACTTGATCCTCCTTGCCTTTCACCACGATTACGAGGCTTCCCCAGCCACATGGAACTGTAAGTAGATTGCCCTGTCTCGGGTATGTCTTTATCAGCAGCGTGAAAAGGGACTAATATGATATCCTATAGAAATAAAGCACATCTTTGTAGAAGCCCCTGTGATATTATTTAGTACTCTAAGTGCTCTGGTGCCTCTCCTAAAAGATGTGGTATGTCCTTTGAACTTGAATAACTAAAGAAGCCAGAAAGGAGACAGGATTTATAAATAGGTTGTGAGTTCAAATATTTTTCTCCCTGAAGAGAAATAGTATAGAACCCTGTTGATATATAAAAATAAATATGAACCTCTAATAGCCTAAAATTATTTTGTATACATAACTATAATGTAAGATTATCTGACATATGAGCCACAAAACTGTAGATGAATTTTTATAATAATTATAAGACCAAATTTTCCACTTTAAAAATTAACAATGTTCAAATTTAGAACAAGTTATTAACTAAAGATAATTAAAGAAAATCAAAGTATATGTATTTTGCATGTATATATATTTACACATATTACATCTATGAAGAACTATGATCATACTGTAAAAGAACTGCAAAGTATACTTAGTAAATGAGAATCTCTTCATGAAAATGATTGCAGCCCAAGGTAAGTAAAGAAACAAAGTGAAATATAGCTGTAAAACGTTAAATACTATAGACTCCAGAAAACTTTTTATTAATTAATTGTTAAACTGATATCAAACACTTTTTCTCCTGCTTTTCCCATTTTCAAAGCTATAACAAGACTGTATTTATGTCTATGATGGTGCTATTTAAAATACTCTCCGGTACTTCTTTCATTATGTTTTCTCTCTTATCAAGATAAATACTGATAAAAATAAAAATATAAACATTTATCTACCTACAAACCTTTTTCTTAATACTATGGTAAAGTCAGGTTTTGGGATGCTATTTCTGGAAGAAAAAAAATGGGCCACTATAAGCTCTCTGCCTCATGAATAATCCTTTTTTTTTTTTTTTGAGGCAAAGTCTCACTCTGTTACCCAGGCTGGAGTGTAGTGGCATGATCTCAGCTCACTGCAACGTCCGCCTGCTGGGTTCAAGTGATTTTCCTCCCAAGTAGCTGGGATTATAGGCGTGCACCATCACGCCTGGCTAATTTTTTTTTTTTTTTTTTTTTTTTGAGACAGAGTCTCACTCTGTCACCCAGGCTGGAGTGTAGTGGCATGATCTCGGTTCACCGCAACCTCTGCTTCCCAGTTCAAGCGATTCTCCTGCCTCAGCCTCCAGAGTAGCTGGGACTACAGCGCCCGCCACCACGCCCAGCTAATTTTTGTATTTTTTTAGTAGAGACAGGGTTTCACCACGTTGGACAGGCTGGTCTCAAACTCCTGACCTTGGGATCTGCCCGCCTTGGCCTCCCAAAGTACTGGGATTTCAGGCGTGAGCCACAGCGTCCGGCCCCTAATTTTGTATTTTATTCTATTTTATTTTTTGAGATGGAGTCTCGCTCTGTTGCCCAGGCTGGAGTGCAGTGGCATGATCTCGGCTCACTGCAAGCTCTGCCTCCCAGGTTCATGCCATTCTTCTGCCTCAGCCTCCCGAGTAGCTGGGAGTATAGGCACCCGCCACCACGCCCGGCTAAATTTTTTGTGTTTTTAGTAGAGACAGGGTTTCACCGTGTTAGCCAGGATGGTCTTGATCTCCTGACCTCAGGTGACCCACCCGCCTCAGCCTCCCAAAGTGCGGGGATTACAGGCGTGAGCCACCTCGCCTGGCCAAATCTTTTTTTTTTTTTTTAGACAGAGTCTTGCTCTGTCGCCCAGGACAGGGTGCAGTGGTGCAATCTCAGCTCACTGCAACAACCTCCACCTCCCAGGTTTGAGAGACTACCCTGCCTCAGCCTCCTGAGTGGCTGGGATTACAGGCACCCACCACCATGCCTGGCTAATTTTTTAATTTTTTGTACAGATGGGGTTTCACCATGTTGGCCAGGCTGGTCTTGAACTTCTGACCTCAAAAGATCCGCCTGCCTCAGCCTCCCAAAGTACTGGGATTACACTGCACCTGGCCCCTATGAATAATGTTAATAACTCTTAATTTTCAAAATAGTCTTCTTTCTCTTTTAGAGAAGAATAAAATGAAGCTAAGCAAATACTTATAATAGAAAACAACTGCCTAGTTGTAAAGTTGAGCAAAGAAACACTGTTAACTAATTCACTTTCTGACACGTTGTCTTGGGACCTGAAACAATCAGATTAGGACATTCTGTGTGATATCTGAAGTAGTGACATGATAACTACTACCCAAGAAAGCAATTCTGTGGTAATGGTTAAGTATATCCACTATAAAATATTATGGAGCAACAAAACGTAATAGCTACAAAGACTAAAGACATGGAAGAAACTTGCATATGCCCACTAACTACAACTAGGAAAAAGTACATATGCTGGGGCAAAAACCTGTAAGAAAATACCTCAAAATACTAACTACAACTAAGAAAAAGTACATAGGCCGGGGCAAAAACCTGTAAGAAAATACCTCAAAATGGTAGCACAGGTTTTATTAGCATAGTGAGATTACAAAATTTTGTCCTTGTTACTAGTTTCCTAATATATATGTATCTAGTTTTCTAATCCATATTCCATTTTATATAAACATATCCACATATTATAAGAGCTATATAGTAATATCAACCTTCAATCTATTAGTCTTTAACTACGACTGCCATCTCTGTTACCAATCACAACCTAAGCTACCAAAATCTTCCTTGCAAGTCTTAACAGAATAGTATTTATGTCTATGATGGTAATATTGCAAAATAGTCTCCTGTACTTCTTTCCTTATACTTTTTCAGCTTCAAAATGACTTTTCTTACCCTCACCTCCCTTAAATCTACTTCCTTCTGCCTTCCCTTATTGGCTAACGGTACTACCAACTGTCATTCTAAAGTTCTGAACTTTTCTCTCTTCCTTATCCTCAACTTACTTAAAAACTTCCACTGGCTCCCAAATGCCCATAGGAAAATGTCCAAATTCTTCAATACATTATACAACATGTTTCATATACAGTCACTGCAAACTTTTGTTTCAACTCGGGCTACCAGTCCAGGAAAACTATTCTATGTTAGGGCCCAGTGGTCTGTTTGCCAAACGTTTAAAATCAGGTCCCCCAGAGAATTCTGCAGATGCCTCATGGATGAATAATTTATTGGTAGAATAATACAGAGTTTACCTTCAATTCTATATCTGTTTATTTGTTTTTATGGCTACAGGCTCTAGAAGACCTTGTTCACATAAATAGACAGATTGGAAGGAAAGCAGTTTTGTTTTAGCCATGTGACTCGATTCTTTCGAGTTACCTGCCAGGATTCACAAAGTGATCTACTATAAAAAAATTACTTTAATAATCTCTAATAGCTGACAATTATTTGATCTTCCTTCACATGTGTTGAAAATAACTAAAAATCATCTGGCTTGCAATTTCCAACATGAATAGCAATATTTCAAATTGCCACTCTATCTTGTTTCCCAGAGGAGTTTTTACCCCCTTCCTGTTCAAATCCATCCTAGTAAGACTGAGGATGAGTAATAATGTCTTTCATTTATAAAGTAGGATTAGAGTCATTATGGAAAGGGAAAACCAGCCTGACATCTTAATGCAACCATATTCTCTGGCAGATCAAGTTTAAGAAAGAATACACATCAAGGTGGAATGTGTGGAACTCAATTTCTTTAAAATATAAAACTTGGAAAATTGTAATATATCGTGAGGCATTTGAACCTCACTCCTAAAAACGCTACTCTAGTAACACCAAATTTCTTATCTTTACCAGAAAATATCATGATCTTTAAAAATACTATATTTCTGCAGATTCTATTGTCTCTTCTGAAATGCCTTTTCCCTATGTCTGCCTGTGAACTGCTACTCATTTCTAAGACGTAATTTTATTAACCTCTTTGTGAAACCTTTCCACACCCTGCAAGCAATTAATTAAAACCTCTCTGTGTTTCTGTAGTCCCTACACAGAACCCTTTCCCTTACTTCTTCATGCTAACATTTATGTTGAACTACAATGATTTGGGGATTTGTTTGTTTTCCTTTTTTCTTTTGGAAACAGATCTCACTCTGTTACGCAGGCTGAAGTGCAGGGGTGCAATGGCTTGACCTCCTGGGTTCAAACAATCTTCATGCTTCAGTCTCCCAAGTAGCTAAGGACTGCAGGTATATGCCACCACCACCACACTTGGGTGATTTTTAAATTTTTTGTAGAGATGGGACTCAATATATTGCCCAGGCTGGTCCTGAATTATTGGCCTCTAGTAAACCTCCTGCCTCAGCCTCCCAAAGTACTGGGATTATAGACATGAGCCCCTGTCCCCTACTTATAAAGATTTGTTTCATATTTGACTCACCATTATTCTCTGAGGTCCTTCAGGCCAGGGTCAGATGATATTCATTTTTACATCAGTGTTTACCCCTACCCCTGCACCTTAGGAAATAGTAGGCAGGCAATAGATAATGCCAATGTGATATTCATTGAAAGCCTAGGCCGGGCATGGTGGCTCACACCTGTAATCCCAGCATTTTGGGAGGCCAAGGCGGGCAGATCACTTGAGGCCAGGAGTTCGGGACCAGCATGGCCAACACAGCGAAACTCCATCTCTAACAAAATTACAAAACAAATTAGCTCAGCGAGGTGGCACTTGCCTGTAGTCCCAGCTACGCGGGGGGCTGAGGCACAAAAATTGCTTGAACCTGGGAGGTGGAGGTTGCAGTGAGCTGAGATTGTGCCAGTGAACTCCAGGTTGGGCTAAAGGGAGACTGTTTCAAAAAATAAAGCCTAAATGTATGCCATTCCCATGTACAAAGCTGGATCACCAACAAGCTATATATCTGAGATGTATAACACTGTTTCCAAGGAAATAGCTTCGTAGGTGTATAATTTTATAATATTTAGTTACGTTTTTACTAGAGGTAGATATAAAAATTCATTTATACTTTGCATAAAATTATTTAAAATATTATCCATTATAACTATCACTGTCTCTTCTATAAAGACCTTGATGTACTGGTACTCAGAACTTACTACTGGGAAAGACCAGAAAAACTTTTCCTCTCCATACCAACTAATAATGCTCCATACAAACTAATAATCACTTTTAAGAAAGTGATAAATAGCTCATTATGCTTGTCCCTGTTCTTGCCCCAGCCATCAGACAACTCCAACAGAAGTTTTGTGTTCAATTTCAGCAATTCCTTATGGCTTTGATTCTCTGCACAGTTAACTCTCACACGTCCTCTCTTGCCTATAATTACCCAGGTTTTTTCCTCATTTGCTTTTACTTTAGTAGTTTTAAAACTGTACTCTTTTAACTTCCTAAACAGAGGTATTAAAACATCGAATACTTTTATGTCATCATTAGCTTTAGTGCCTAATACAGAGCTCTAAACAGAATAAACACTAACAGATATGATAGCTACTACTTATATAAAATTACATAGAAGATATCTAGATAAAGAAGATTCTTGTACTCAAAACCTCACAATCTGTCTCTTAAAGAAAATACCAACAATTCCTTCTAATTTTTAAACTATTTTCATGTAAAGTAAGTATTTTTCCTGTTAACTTTATAGCTTACCTGTGTAGGTTCAGGAGCCATACTCTTCCTTTGTTCTGTTGATTTTTCTATTGCTTCACTAAGAGACTTTGCATATTGTACCATAGCTTTCAACTGGGAATCAGTCAAAACCCATAATAAGTCATCCAATATTAGAACTAACTTTGTTGCTATGACATTGCAGTCCTTTAACTGTAGGAAAAAAAAATGTTTTATAAAATTAAGCCAAGATATAAACCTTATAATACGCTTGTATTAAAAAATGTTTTCAAAACGTTTTTGAATAGAAATATGGATTCTTCCTTCACACAAGAAGTATTTACTGGCCGGGCACGGTGGCTCATGCCTGCAATCCCAGCACTCTGGGAGGCCAAGGCAGGTGGATCACCCGAGGTCAGGAGGTGAAGACCAGCCTGGCCAACATGGTAGAAACCCTGTCGCTACTAAAAATACAAAAATTAGCCAGGTGTGGTGGCGGACACCTGTGTAATCCCAGCTACTTGGGAGGTGGAGGCAGGAGAATTGCTTGGCCCAGGAGGCAGAGGTTGCAGTGAGCAGAGATAGTGCCATTGCACTCCAGCCTGGGTGACAGAGAGAAACTCTGTCTCAAAAAAAAAAAAAGTAGTAGTATTTACTGAGTTCCTATAATATGAAAGGAATATCACCTAGTACTAGAGATGCAGTGGTAACAAAAGACAGACAAATCCTTGTACCTTACAAGTTATATAGCACTTATATAACTTAATTTTGCATTTATAGCTGATAAATTATATAATTACTTGTATTAATTCAAAGATTCAATAGAAGAAATGAAATTATAAGACAGTAAATGTTCAACAAGTATTTGGCAACTGAGAAATATATTCAATTTACCAAAAATAAAAATGTTTAGGCCAGGCATCGTGGCTCACACCTATAATACCAGCACTTTGGGAGGTCAAGACAGAAGGACTGCTTGAAGCCAGGAGTTCATGACCAGCCTGGACAACAAAGCGAGACCCTGTCTCTACAAAAAAAAAATAAAAATAAGCTAGGCATGGTGGTGCATGCCTGTAGTCTCAGCTACTTGGGAGGCTAAGGCAGGAGGATCCCTTGAGCCCAGGAGTTCGAGGCTGCAGTGAGCTAGGATTGTCCCACTGCACTCCAGCCTGGGCAACAGAGCAAGACCCCAACTCCAAAAATAAAAATAAAAATAAGGCAGAGGCAGGAGGATCACATGACTCCAGGAGCTCAAGACCAGTCTGAGCAATATAATAAGACCTCATCTCTACAAGTAACTTAAAAAATTATTCAGGCATAGTGGGCGTGCCTATTGTCCCAGCTACTTGAGAAGCTGAAGTGGGACAATCACTTTAGCCTGGGAGGTCAAGGTTTCAGTGAGCCTTGATCATGCCACTGTAATCAAGCCTGGGCAATATAGTGAGATCTCATCTCAAAAAAAATAAAATAAGATAAAAATAAAAAGAACAACAAAAAACCTTTGAAAAATCTATTAAACCTAAGACTGAAGAACATTATACCAGTTTTCTATAAATATTATCTGAGTAACTATACCTCCCTTTATTTTGCATTATTTTAATATGCCACTGGTAATATGCCAATATTTCACCTAAGACATTGTTTAAAATTTCCTATAGTTAACTAATAGTTAACACACAAATCAAAAAGTCAAATCCAACAGTTAACACATGAATCAAAAATGTAATCTTGTTGACTCACCCTTCTTTTAAGTGTGACTCTGATTTTTGATTGGTTGGTTATTAATCGAACAGGAGCACACATAATTTCAAGATGTGAACTTTGGGTGGCATCTGCCTCTATTCTTATCATCTGCCAATTTATTTCTTTAAAAGTCAAAACCTAAGGAGAACACAGAGATTAACTTCACTTACTCATGCAAAACAGAATGAGAAAAATGTAGATTTTTAAAAACAAAGCAAATGTATATTCTCAGTTAATTTTCACATGACATTTTAGATATATTCACCATGTTTTTATTTTTGTAAATTGCATTATTCCATCAAATTCAATTACACCTCTTCATATTCATATTCATCATATGTAAAGCTGTTAATACTTTTAATCTAAGTAATTCAGTTAATGTAAAGCTCAAATGCATGAAATCACGTTACCAAGAAACAAACAACATATTTTAGTTTGGGGAATTTAAAAATTCAATTCTGAGTAGCTGAGAAGTTAAAATAGGGCTTTAAATGGAAAGATTTACTAGAGTAAAGACATTAAAATGTGCACATTTTATAAATGAATGATTAAGAGTAATACAGAGAGCTGGGTGCAATGGTTCAGGCCTGTAATCTCAGAGCACTATGGGAGGACAAGGCAGGTGGATAGCTTGAGCCCAGGAGTATGAGACCAGCCTGGGCAACATGGCAAAACCCTGTCTCTACCAAAAATACAAAAATTAGGCAGGCGCAGTAGTACATGCTGTTAGTCCCAGCTACTCAAGATGCTGAGGTGGGAGGATCACCTGAGCCCAGGGAGGTCAAGGCTGCAGTGAGCCGTGATTGCGCCACTGCACTCCAGCCTGAGCAACAGAGTGAGACCCTGTCTCCCCGCACCCTCCCCAAAAAAAGTAATACAGAGAAAAGCAAAGTTAAAAGGCAACCATGAGATGTGATTTTTTTAATCGTCCTCTTTTACTTGTCACTAAATGAAACATTTAAAAAAGAAAGAAAAAAATGTTACCTCTCCTCTCTGTGGATCCTGAATACGAGTAAATCTCAAATCTCCATGTTCCCAGTGTGCATTTACACTATAGATCCGAAGCTGAGAAAGTTCAAATGATGCATTGAAGGCTTTTGCTCCAATTCTGATGACTATAGAATTTACAGAAACAGAAATTCCCTCAACTACTTTTTCAGCAAAGCCGTATTCACTGGAAAAACAAAGCAAAACAAAATACACTAATGACAAAACTAATTTTTAAAAATTCTATTAATATTTGCACATTTCTGGTTGGGGATGGTGGCTCATACCTGTACTCCCAGCACTTTGGGAGGCTGAGGCAGGCAGATCACTTGAGGCCAGGAGTTCAAGCCCAGCCTGGCCAACACAGTGAAACCCCATCTCTACTAAAAAAAAAAACACAAAAAATTAGCCAGGCACAGTGGCACATGCCTGTAATTTCAGCTACTTGGGAGGCTGAGGGACGAGAATCACCTGAACCCAGGAGGTGGAGGTTGCGGTTAGCTCAGATTGCAACACTGCACTCCAGCCTGGGTGACAGAGCAAGACTCTGTCTAAAAATATAGACAGATAGATAGATAGACAGACAGACACATAGATACATAGATACATAGATACATAGATAATTTGCACGTCACCATTTTATTATTTTTTTTTTCCCTAAGAGTCTCAACTCTGTCGCCCAGGCTGGAGTGCAGTGGCATGATCTCAGCTCACTGCAACCTCTACCTCCCGGGTTCCAGCAATTCTTCTGCCTCAGCCTCCGGAGTGGCTGGGATTACAGGCATGCACCACCATACCTGGCTAATTTTTTGTATTTTTAGTAGAGATCAGGTTTCACCATATTGGCCAGGCTGGTCTCAAACTCCTGTCCTCAGATGATCTGCCCACCTTGGCCTCCCAAAGTGATGGGATTACAGGCGTGAGCCACCAGGCCCAGTTTATTCATTTTTATATTGAAAAAATAAATGTTTTTTATTAAAACAATAATCTAAGCTGGGCCTGGTGGCTCACGCCTGTAATCTCAGCACTTTGGGAGGCCAAGGCAGGAGGATCTCTTGAACCTGGAGTTTGAAACTAGCCTGGGCAATATAGCAAGATCCCTGTCTCCACAAAATATTTTAAGAGGCCACACATGGTAGCTCATGCCTGTAATCCCAGCACTTTGGGAGGCCACTTGAACCTAGGAGTTCAAGACCAGCCTGGACAACACAGACAGATCTCGTATCCGTAGAAAATTTAAAAATTAGCTGAGCATGGTAACACTTGCCTGTGGTCCCAGATACTCACAAGGCTGCAGTGGGAGGATCTCTTGAGCCCAGGAGGCAGAGGTTGCAGTGAGCTGAGATGAAACCACTGCACTCTAGCCTGGGCAACAGGGCGAGACCTTGTCTCAAAATTAATTAACTAATTGATTAATTAATTAATTAGCTGGACATGGTGGTGCATGTCTGTGGTCCCAGCTACTTGGGAAGCTGAGGTGGGAGGATCACTTGAGGCCAGGAGGTTGACGCTGCAGTGAGCTGTGATCATGCCACTGCAGTCCAGCCTGGGTGACAGAGAGAGATCACATTTCAAAAAAAAAAACAGGAAAACAAACCTCAGACACAACAATCTAGTCTAGTTACATATAAATTATTAAAAAAAAAAAAATGCTATTCTCAGCCAGGCATGGTGACAGTGGCTGTCACCTATAATCCTAGCACTGTGGGAGGCCAAGGCAGGTGGATCACTTTAGCCCAGGAGTTCCAGACCAGCCTGACCAACAAGGAGAAATCCTGTCTCTATTAAAAATACAAAAAAGTTAACTGGGCATGGTGGCGCATGCCTGTAGTCCCAGCTACTCGGGAGGCTGAGCTGAGAGGATCGCTTCAGTATGGGAGGTGGAGGTTGCAGTGAGCTGAGATGGCACCACTGCACTCCAGCCTGGGCAACAGAGTGAGACCTTGTCTCAAAAAATAAAAATAAAAAAATAATTTTTTAAAAAAACGCTCTTCTCATTCTCTAAACCTTTTCTGGTTCTCAGGGCTGCAAAAAAATTTTTTTAATACTCTTCTTAAAATGTAAAAGACTTTTTGGCTGGGCACAGTAGCTCACAGCTATAATCCAAGCACTTTGAGAGGCAAAGGGAGGAGGATTGCTTGAGCCCAGGAGTTAAAATCAGCCTAGGCAACACATGGAGACCACCATCTCTACAAAAAATACAAAAAACTAGCCAGGTATGGTGGCTTGCACCTGTAGTCCCAACTACTTGGGAGGCTGAGGTGGGAGGATCGATTGAGCCTGGGAGGTCAAGGCTGCAGTGAGCCAAGATCATGCCACTGCATTCCAGCCTGGGCAACAGAGTGAGACCCAAAAATACATATTCACATTCTATTTTTTTTTTTTTTTACTCTGAACACCACTCAATGAATGTATTCATTTTATTGATATCCATTCCAGACCTACTGAATCAGAAATTCAAGAAAAGGAGCTTCAGAGACTTTGTAGATTTAATAAGCACTCTAAATGACTGTTACAATCAGGCAAGTCTGAAAAAATGCTGAAATAGATTAACCATACTGCCATATGTCAAAATATGAGGATGATTTAAATAGTTTAAATCATCACATGATTAGAAAGCCAAAATTATAAAGCTTATGATACTATAAAAACAAGAATTAGGAAGAACACTATCAACTATACTAAGCACACAAGGACAAAATGATTCATTTTAGTTCTTTCCGACTCTAGCCAACCTAAAGGCCAACAACTATTCTATGAAAACTGAAATCATAATCTAACCTGTAAAATCTGAAGTTGCAGGATGATGCTACATTACAAAGAAGTTAACATGAAAGCTCTTTTCCCAGTCACTAATATCTGTAGTCCAAATATAAACTGCACATCTGATAAACCTGGCCTTTAGTCAACTCTTAGAAGTGGAACGAATCACCATTAGATTCCCATGGCATGCACTGTAGGTATTCTCATGGCATGCACTAACATAAAGGTGGCTCAACCTTTGTAAAACAGGAGTAAGTGAGTGTGTGTCTGTGTACACACACGAATGCATTCATCCTCAAGAAAAGTTTTATCAATTGTTTTACATAACACCTAGAATACTATACATGTTCAGAGCTGCTATTTTACGCAATATGAGGAGGCATTAATCACATTAAAAATCTATGTCAACAATTAATGTGAACGCAAAAATAATGCAGAAATCCTGTTGTAGAAAAATCATGTATAGTTCTAGATTTAAATTTCACTGAGTGCAAAAAAGCAGACAACATATTTTTAAAAATTTAATAACTTCTAACTTTTCAAAAAGACTTTATGAAATGATCCCCATACTTCTGCTGTATTAGCATCTGATTTTCATCTATCAAAATACAACCTGTGGAAAGCAAAAACATTTTAAACTTAATGAATTTTAGAGTAACCCAAAAGGTCTGTAATTTAAGGCATCAACTTAACTCTTTGTTTTTGAGACAGAGTCTCTCTCCATCACCCAGGCTGCAGTGCAGTGGCATGAGCTCAGCTCACTGCAGCCTTGACCTCCCGGGTTCAAGCAATTCTCCTGCCTGGGCCTCCTCAGTAGCTGGGAATACAGGCGTATACCACCGCACCCAGTTTTTGTATTTTTGGTAGAGACGGGGTTTCACCATGTTGGTCAAGCTGGTGGCAAACTCCTGACCTCAGGTGATCCGCCCACCTCAGCCTCCCAAAGTGCTGGTATTACAGGCGTGGGCCACTACACCGAGCCCAACTTAACTCTTTTTTTTTTTTTTTTTGAGACGGAGTCTCGCTCTGTCACCAAGGCTGGAGTGCAATGGCGCGATCTTGGCTCACTATAACCTCCGCCTCCCGGGTTCAAGCAATTCTCCTGCCTCAGCCTCCCAAGTAACTGGGATTAAAGGTGCATGGCGCCATGCCCAGCTAAAGTTTTTTGTATTTTAGTAGAGACAGGGTTTCACCGTTTTGCCCAGGCTGGTCTCAAACACCTGAGTCCAGGGAATCCACCCGCCTCGGCCTCCCAAAGTGCTAGGATTACAGGCATGAGCCACCGCTCCCAGCCTCCCAACTTAACTCTTAAGAGTCATAAAAGTTCCACTGATGCACAGAAAATGATATGCAGAGAAACTGATCAGAGGCTATCTGATTTATATAATGCCTAAATTCTTCTGCTTCCATTTTCTGTTGCTGCTCTGCCATTAGTTAATCACTATTATTTAATAATAGCAAGGAAAGCAAGATGAATAAAGAAAGTTAAAAGTCAAATCTGCAACTTTGCAATGTATATAACTAAAATTGTAAAATGTTTGATGGGAGAGCTGACTGAAATAGAGGCCATTTGAGGTTAAGGCTTTTTTTTTTTTTTTTTTTAATGTCCTGTTATTGGCAGTCATGCAGATTAATGGAAGTAGCTTACCTTTGTCCTGAAGCAGTTGCAATTGGTGATGGGCCATTAGGGCTTCTTGGTTCTTCACATGTACTCATTTCCATTATTACTTTATCCAGGGACTAATAAAAACGTTAAAATATAAACAATTAGATTATTTATTCTACGTATATTATTAAAGTATTATTTAAGATTATTTTCTCTTTCATTTTTCTTTAGGAAGAAAGTAAAAAGTGAGCAGAGTCATTTAAGTGCCTCTCTACAGGTCTAAAAAGACAAATGCCAAAAAAGAACACAAAGCACTCAATCAGTTCTCAAGGCATTTATTATCTGGTGGAAAAGCTATGTGTATTACAGGTGTTGGGGGGTGGGGAATTAAGACATAGCCATTAACTACTAAAATCATCAGATTTCATGAAAACAGAATCTCTACTCCCAGATATATTCATTGATGAAATTATATATTAATAAGTAGGACTGAACTACCCCAAAAAGCTTATCACAATCTAAGATCTGAGCTATGAGACACAAAACTATGGGAAATATGAAATAAGCAGGAAATGTGAAAAAAAATAAACACTCCCATAATGGAAAAGGTTCTTTCTCAGGGTAATATTTTTCTCCTTGAAGAAAGATCTAATGTCCTTAATCGCCATCACTAACACTACTCCAGTCATTCTTCATTCTCTATTTCATATATAGCATTTATTATTATCTGAAACTGTCTTGTTTTATTCATGTTCTTGATCATTGTATTTTTTAAATGAACGAACAAATGATCAATTTTCTTCAACTTTCCTTAAAAAGCAAAGTATATTAAAGAACATATTTCATAATTTACTAGATCACTAAAAGGAGAAACAAAGACAGTCTGGATCAAATGTTACTGAAAGAATAATCCCATAGTACATCAACAAAGAGTTAAATGATGCAATAAAATACTATACCAATTTAGAACACAGTATTCTAGACCTGAAAAACTTTAAAGATGCTCCTACTTTAAGGTTAAAGCTTCTCATTTAAAGGATGAAAAACCTGAGTCCTATCAAAATAAAATGAAACCTAACTGGTGAAAAATCCAGACTATATTTCCATGAAACAAAAGATTACTATGAACAGAGTAGCTAGATAATGTATATATATAAATGTTTATTTCTAAAGTGGTTTCAGAACTCACCAAACAGATGGGATGTGTTTTCAGTTTTGTCCATGGGATCTACAAATGAAAAATTTTTAATTTAAGATCAATCATTAAGAAGAAAATAATGTAAACAGTAATCAATACAGGTGTTATATTAATATAGGACAGACACACCAAATTATATAAAATCACTTTTCTTAAACTACAAAATAAACTAAGCAACTCACTCATACTTTTGAAACCAGATGTACCCATTTTATTTAAGAAATTATTACTAGCTATATCTCCTCAGACATCTTTTGAATAGAAATTGTAAGTTCTTTTTTTCTTTTTTTTTTTTTTTTTTGAGACAGAGTCTCTTTCTGTTGCCCAGACTGGAGTGCAGTGGCACGATATCGGCTCACTGCAACCTCCACCTCCTGGGTTCAAGCAATTCTCGTGCCTCAGCCTCCCAGTAGCTGAGATTACAATCAAGTGCCACCACGCCCGGCTAATTTTTGTATTTTTAGTAGAGACAGTGTTTTGATATGGTGGCTAGACTGGTCTCTAACTCCTGGCCTCAAATGATCCACCCAACTCGGCCTCTCAAGGTGCTGGGATTACAGGCACGCACCACCATGCCTGGCCAATTTCAGGTTCTTTTAAGTATCTTTTTTTTTTTAACAATCCTTAAAACAAATCTTAATATCATAATTTAAATGAAGAGCTTAACAACCTGTTTAATCCTAAAATTCTGAGCAATCATTTTGTAAATATTCAAGACAAATACAAAAGTTCGGCCATTAATATAAAATGTAGGAAACATCAAATACATAATGTTGATATACCCTGTACTAAAAATGCCAAGTTTTGCCTCCAAAAGGCTCTTAGATCTAATAAATAAATTCAGTAAGGTTTAGGTTACAAAATCAACGTACACAAATTAGTAGCACTGCTACAAACCAACAAAAACCACGCTGATAATCAAATCAGGAACTCAATCCCTTTTACAATAACTACTGCTACTACAAAAAAAAAAAAAAAAAAAAAAAAAAAAATGTAGGAATATACCTAACCAAGGAGTTGAAAGATCTCCACATGGAGAACTACAAAACACTGTGGAAAATCATAGATGACATAAGCAAATGGAAATATATCCCATACTCGTGGACTGGAAGAATCTATACTGTGAAAATGACCATACTGCCCAAAGCAATCTACAAATTCAACACAATTCTTCTCAAAGTACTAACATCATTTTTCACAGAATTAGAAAAAACAATCCTAAACTTCATATGGAACCAAAAAAGAACCCAAATAGCCAAAGCAATCCTAAGCAAAAAGAACAAAACTGGAGGCATCACATTACCCAACTTCAAATTATGCAAGTCTATAGTAACCAAAACAGCATGGAACAGGTGTAAAAATAGGCACATGGACCAATGGAACAGAATAAAGTATTCTGTTTCTGTTCCATTGAACAGAATACACAGGCCAATGGAACAGAATAGAGAACCAAGAAATAAAGCCAAATACTAACAATCAACTGATCTTTGACAAAGCATACAAAAACACAAACTGGAGAAAGGACACCATATTCAATAAATGGTGCTGGAAAAAGTGGATAGCCACATGTAGAAGAATGAAATTGGATCCCTATCTCTTACTGTATACAAAAATTAACTCAAGATAAATGAAAGTTTTAAATCTAAGATCTGAAACCATAAAAACTGTGGAAGAAAACCTAGGAAAAACTCTTCTGAACGTTGGCCTAGGCAAAGAATTTATGACTGAGACCCCAAAAGCAAATGCAACAAAAATAAATGAGACCTAATTAAACTAAAACGCTTCTACACAACAAAAGAAATAATCATCTGAGTAAACTGACAACCTACGGATTGTCAATATTCACAAACTATGCATCTGACAAAGAAAATATGCACAAATTATGTGTCTGACAAAGGACTAATATTCAGAATCTACAAGGAACTCAAACAAATCAGCAAGAAAAAAAACACGCCCATTAAAAAGTGAGCAAGGACATGAACAGACATTTTGCAAAAGAAGATATACAAATGGCCAACAACCACATGAAAAAATGCTCAAAATCATTAATCATAAGGGAAATGCAAATTAAAAACACATTGAGACACCACCTTTTTCCAGCCAGAATGGCCATTACTAAAAAGTTGAAAAACAATCGATGTTGGCATGGAAGTGATGAAAAAGGAATGCTTATACACTGCTGGTAGGAATATAAGTTAGTACAACCTCAATAGAAAACAGTATAGAAATTTCTCAAAGAACTAAAAGTAGATCTACCATTCGATCCAGCAATCCCACTACCGAGTGGGTACCTATCCAAAGGAAGAGAAGTCACTATATGAAAAAGACACTGGTCCTCATTTCAAACATGACTCTATTAAAAAAAAAAAAAGACACCTGGACACATATGTCTATTGCAACACAATGCACAATTGCAAAGATATGGAATCAATCTAAGTGCCCATCAACCTATGAGTGGTTACAGAAAATGTGGTACATAAATACCATGGAATACTACTCAGCCATAAAAAAAGAGCAAAATAATGTCTTTTGCAGCAACTTGAAAAGAACTGGAGGCCATTATTCTAAGTGAAGTAACATGAATTGAAAACCAAATACCACATGTTCTTTTAAGTGTGAGGTGAACTATGGGTATGCAAAGGCATACAGAGTGGCATAATGGACTTTGAAGACTCAGAAGGTGGGTAGGGGTAGGAGAGGGATGAGGGATGAAACTACTTCCTGAGTACAATATACACTACTCAGCTGACAGATGCACTAAAATCCCAGACTTTACCACTATACAATTCACTCATGTAAACAAAAACCACTTGTATCTCTAAAGCTATTGAAATAAAAAAAAATTTACTGAAAGTGTCAAGTCTTTGTAGATATTTAGGTTTCCAAAGGATAGAACAAAAATTAAAAGTGACCATCAAAGGATATAGGAACTTTTCTATAATCTTTTCTTAGGAGCCCAAATTTTAGTTTTAGGAAACAATCAGCATGCAGTATTTCAACTAAGCAGACAACTCTTAAACAAAGCCTCATCTTTAAGACCAAGAAGTGACACAAATTGACATATGATTAAAGATAAGTAGAGGTCAGCCGGGCACGGTGGCTCATACTGTAATCCCAGCACTTTGGGAGGCAGAGGCGGGTGGTGGATCACCTGTCAGGAATTTGAGACCAGCATGGCCAACAGGATGAAACCCCATCTCTACTAAAAATACGAAAATTAGCCAGGTGTGGTGGCATGCGCCTATAATTCCAGCTACTTGGAAGGCTGAGGCAGGAGAATTGCATGAACCTGGGAGGTAGAGGCTGCAGTGAGCCAAGACGGTGCCACTGCACTCCAGCCTGGGTGACAGAGCAAGACTCCATCTCCCAAAAAAAAAAAAAAAAAAAAAAAGATAAGTAGAATAATAAGTTATAATAATAATAATAATAGGAATGATACTAACAGTAAACAGAGACCCTTAAAAATCTCAAAATGGGCTGGGCACGGGCGGATCACAAGGTGAGGAGATTGAGACCATCTCGGCCAACATGGTGAAACCCCATCTCTACTAAAATACAAAAAAATTAGCCAGACGTGGTGGCACGTGCCTGAAATCCCAGCTACTTGGGAGGCTGAGGCAGGGGAATCGCTTGAACCCGGGAGGCAGAGGTTGCAGTGAGCTGAGATTGCACCACTGCACTCCAGCCTGGTGACAGAGCAAGACTCCGTCTCAAAAAAAAATCTCAAAATGAAAAAGAAACTAATGAAGAAAAGGGATAAAACTGCAAATTTATTAGTTCTCATGTCTTCATTTGAAAAGTATTTACTCACTACTTTTTAAAAATTGTTTTGAGACAGGGTCTCACTCCGTCACCCAGGCTGGAGTGCAGTGGCACAATCATGACTCACTGCAGCCTCACCCTTCCAGACTCAACCGATCATCCTGCTTCAGCTTCCCAAGTAGCTGGGCCTACAGGCGCATGTGCTACCATGTTGGGCTATTTTTTTATTTTTATTTTTAGTATAGATGCAGTCTCATTATGTTACCCAGGCTAGTCTCAAACTCCTGGGCTCAAGCAATCCGCCTACCTCGGCCTTCCAAAGTGCTGGGATTACAGGTGTGAGCCACCATGCCCAGCAACTCACTACAAGTTTAGATTGTCCCATTTGACAATAAAACTTATGAAAAAACTATCTTTGAACATGTACCAAATGGATGCAATTATTTTATTAACAAATTAATAATTTTGAAATATTAATGGAATCACTTTACACAAAAATTAAGATCTATAAAGTAGTTAATATATGCCTTTACACATAAGGCACACATTTATGCAAAGGTATCTTTCTTTTGAAATTATATTAATAAAAATGTTTTTACACAATTATCTAAAATTAAGTATTTTAAAAGCTAGAGCCAAAATATAGAAGGAAAACATGAAAGGCCTTCCACAAATATCAAGCCACAGATATCAAAGTCTCACCCTAATGGACGCTTTATTACAAAAAACTTTGTTGATAGCAAGCCATGTTGGCAAATCCAACATATTCTGGAGTACTTCTTCATCCAACTCCAAATTCTTCAGTTCACCTTCTCCTTTAAGGGTACTTAGATTTATCTTGTCAGGAGATAAATTTTTGGTAAATCTGAAAGAGAATACACATTGACATTTATTTATGTGTCAGTTACTATACTCCAGAGTCATTTTTTCAAATATACAGAGAACTAAAAATATAATAGGAGTGGACACAACATAATGTCCATCAACGACAAATGGATAAAGAAAATGTGGTACATATACACGATGGAGTATTATTCAGCCATAAAAAAGAATGAGATCCTGTCATTTGCAACAACATGGATGGAACTGGAGGACACTACAGTTAAGTGAAACAAACCAGGCACAGAAAGACAAACTTTACACACTCTCGTTCATTTGTGGGAGCTAAAAATTAAAACAATTGAATACATGGAGATCAAGAGTAGAAATGATGGTCACCAGAGGCTGGAAAGGGTAGTGGTGGGGAGCAGGGGTGGGAATGGGTAGTGGGTACAAAAATACAATTAGGTAGAATGAATACAATACTGATATGGTTTGGTTCTGTGTCCCCACCCAAATCTCACCTCTAATTGTAATCCCCACATGTCAGGGGAAGGAGCTGGTGGGAGGTGACTGGATCATGGGGGTAGTTTCTCATGATAGTTAGGGAGTGAGTTCTCACAAGATCTGATGATTTAAAAGTGTCTGGCAGTTTTCCTCTCTCTCTCTCTCTCTCTCTCTCTCTCTCTCTCTCTCTCTCTCTCTCTCTCTCCTGCCACCATGTAAAACATGCCTTGCTTCACCATCACCTTCCACCATGATTGTGAGTTTCCTGAGGCCTCCCCAGCCATGCAGAAGTGTAAGCCAATTAAACTTCTTTCTTCAGTCTCAGGTATGTCTTCATAGCAGTATAAAAACGGACTAAGACAGATATAGTATTCAACAGCACAACAAAGTGACTACAGTCAACAATAATTTATTGTACGTTTTAAAGTAATTGTGTAACTGGAATGTCTGTAACACAAAGAAATGATAAAGGCAGCCAGGTGCGTGGCTCACACCTATAATCCCAGCATTTTAGGAGTCTGAGGAGGGCGGATCACTTGAGGGCAGGAGTTCAAGACCAGCCTGGCCAACATGGTGAAACCTGGTCTCTACTAAAAATACAAAAATATTAGCTGGGCATGTTGGCGCATGCCTGTAGTCCCAGCTATTCAGGAGGCTGAGGTGGGAGTTTCGCTTCAGTCCAGGAGGTGGAGAATGCAGTGAGCTGAGATTGTGCCACTGCACTCCAGCCTGGGTGACACAGTGAGACCCTGTCTCAGAAAAAAAAAAAAAAAAAGATTGGAAATAGTTAATGTAAGAGTGAGCATTTTCCAAGGGTTTACTGTGTTCCAAGCTCTTGGCATACATGCGTGACTATTTCATTTAGTTCCCATGATAACCTATTAGGGTCTATACTAATTTTAACCCAATTTTTGAATAAGTAAACCTAAGGAGAAACTTGAACTTACTTGCCTAATATCACAACTAACAATGAAAATACATTACACATCTACTTTGAAATACATTCATATACATTACTTTATCTTCCAAACAACCCTAAAAAATAAAAATTACTAACTATGCCCAACAAATAATTTTTCAAAAGTGAAATTACTGAAAAAAACTAAACTACTGGCTAACAAGAGTTAGTCTTTACTTTTTTTGGAAATTAAATATAAAGCAACATTATATACTGGGTTATTCACATGCCCTACTTGTCAACAAGAATACCAATCAATAAACTCATGTTTCTCCACTGACTCCAAACCAGAATTTGAGCCAGATTCTATCTGAATTCATATCTTCTCACAGGATGTCAACTGAGAAATACAACAATCATTTAACACATGTATTTGACCAATGATGCTGAGCTGTATTACACTTGCTTCTGATCACGCTTGATTCAATACCACGACGCTTTCTCATAGAATGCCATTCCTAACCATAGATAACAAACAAAAAACCCTGCCACTTCCCTGAGGCAGAATATTAGAGCCAGAAGACAACACTCAATAAGTATTTATTGAGAATTCATTATGCAGACACACATACTGGGAAGCAGTACACTTGAGGTCCCTGCCCTTGTGGAGTTTTCAGTTTAGTTGGTGAGACGGATCAAATGGCACAACTAAGAGAGAATATAGCAGGAGTTCTAATCCAGAGCTTCTCTGAAACAGGGACTTTTGAGCTGGTATCTAAAGGAAGAGAAGTTAACTAGGCAAGGAGGAAAAGGGGGTAGGGAAAGAAAGTATTCCAAGCAGAGGAATAAAATGCATAAAGGTTCTAAGACAGGAGGGAGATGATATAAAGTGGAATTGAAAAAATATCAGAAATACTGTTATCTGTAATATTTATAGGGAAGGAAGGATGGACAACAGACTAATCTGAGTAACTCAAACAGAATATTTGACTATATATTCTAACATTTGACTATATATCCTTAGTCTTGGGCATGGAGGAATATGGGGATGGAGGTGAAGCATGGTTAGTGAAGAAATCAGGCAACACCTTGATTGGGTATGTACAAGAATGTTCATTTCAAGGATATCTACAAGAAAAAAAGAGTGAAAACAATCTAAACGTCCCAAGAGGGATACCCCATCTAATTATAATACACTATATTATTAATACATACATATCAAGTAATATATGTTGCCAGTCTTATAAAGAAATGTTTATATTATAATGTTTGATGAAAATTCAAGTCACAAAATTATGTGCTATAATTTCAAGTATGTAAAAAATGCATCATAAAATCCCATGACTACCTATGGCTGGTGGGGTTTTAGATTTTTTTTTTTTTTTTTTTTTTTTTTGCTTTTTTGAGACACGGTCTCGCTCTGTTGTCCAGGGTGGAGTGCAGTGGTGTGATCATGGCTCATTTCAACCACGACCGCCTGGACTCAGGTGATCCCACCTCAGCTTTCCAAGTAGCTGGGACCACCACACCCAGCTAATTAGTTTATTTATTTAATTTACTTTGAGACAGGGTCTCACCCTGTTGCCCAGGCTAGAGTGCAGTGGTTTGATTTTGGCTCACTGCAACCTCCACCTCCAAAGCAGTTGGGACCATGGGCACATGCCACCATGCTCAGCTAGTTTTTTGTTTTTTTTTGTTTGTTTGTTTTGTTTTGTTTTGAGACAGTCTTGCTCTGTCACCCAGGATGGAGTGCAGTGGCACAATCTCAGCTCATTGCAACCTCTGCCTTCTGGGTTCAAGCGATTCTCCTGCCTCAACCTCCTGAGAAGCTGGGATGACAGGCACGCACCACCACGCCCAGCTAATTTTTGTATTTTTAGTAGAGACGGGGTTTCACCATGTTGGTCAGGCTGGTCTCTAACTCCCGACCTTGTGATCCATCCACCTCGGCCTCCCAAAGTGCTGGCTGGGATTACAGGCATGAGCCACCGTGCCCAGCCCCAGCTAGTTATTTTTTAAAGACAGGGACTCACTATGTTGCTCAGGCTGATATCGAATCCCTGGGGTCAAGCAATCCTCCTGCCTCAGCCTCCCAAAGTGCTGGGATTACAGGTGTGAACCACCACACCCAGCCTAGATTTACTTCTCCTTATTTATACTTCTCTGTATAAGTATTCTATAACGAGCATGTACCACTTTTATAAAGACAAAAGTTCAAGGGAAACCAAAAAAGCCTGGCCTGGCAAGAGCAAAAGTGAAAAATGAGGAGGATTAAAATATATGTAATTTAGCCAGGAGCAGTGGCTCATGCTTGAAATCTCAGCAGTTTGAGAGGCCAAGGCAAGAAGATCACTTGAGCCCAAGAGTTTGAGACCAGCCTGGGCTGGTCTATATATTAGTGAGTGACTATATTAGTGAGACCCTATGTCTACAAAAAATTTAAAAAAGAATTAGCCAGGCATAGTGGAACACTCCTGTAGTCCCAGTTACTGAGGGGACTGAGCTGGGAGGATTGCTTGAGCCTGGGAGGTCAAGGCTGCAGTGATCCATAATTTTGCCACTGCACTCCAGCCTGGGTGACAGAGCCTTTGTCTCAAAGACAAAACAAAAAACAAAAATAATAGCTAACAACAGCAATAAAATTTCCAAGCAAATGAAAAAAGTAGACTTGATTTAGATTATACATTTTACAATCAATACACCATTATTAGGGTCTAAATTATGTGCACTGCACTAAGTAAACATTTAAGGGCAAAACAAAACAAAACAAAAAGGTCCATATAATCAAAGATTTATAATTTGGTTAAGGGAACAGAGAATAAATGCACAAAAAGCCAAGAATCTCAGGAGGCTGAGGCAGGAGAATTGCCTGAACCCGGGAGGCGGAGGTGGCAGTGAGCCGAGATTGCACCACTGCACTCCAGCCTGGTGACAGAGCAAGACTCCATCTCAAAAAAAAAAAAAAAAAAAGAATCTCAGCTTGCTAGGCACAGGAGCTCATGCCTGTAATCCCAGCACTCTGGGAGGCTGAGGCAAGTGGATTGCTTGAGCCCAGGAGTTCAAGACTAGCCTGGGTAACATGACAAAACCCCATCTCTACAAAAAATACAAAACTTAGCCAGGCATGGTAGCATGCATCTGTAGTCCCAGCTACCCATGAGGCTAAGGTGGGGGGATCACCTGGGCCCAGGAGGTCGAGGTTGCAGTGAACCATGATAGCACCACTGCACTCCAGCCTGGATGACAGAGTAAGACCCTGTCACACACACAAAAAGAATCTCATCTCGGCCGGGTGCGGTGGCTCATGCCTGTAATACCAGCACTTTGGGAGGCTGAGGTGGCTGGATCACCTGAGGTCAGGAGTTCGAGACCATCCTGGCCAACGTGGCGAAACCTCGTCCCTACTAAAAATACAGAAAAATTAGCTGGGTGTGGATCCCAGCTACTCTGGAGGCTGAGACAGGAGAATCACTTGAACCCAGGAGGCAGAGGTTGCAGTGAGCTGAGATTGCCCCACTGCACTCCAGCCTGGGAGACAGAGTAAGACTCTGTGTAAAAAAAAAATCTCATCTCAACAAGAGGTAAAATGCTATCTACTGCTTACTATTTAACCTATATCTCAGATTCCTCATCTGTAACATGGGGATAATAGTACCTGCCTCACAGAGTTGTTTTAAGGATTAACTCAGAACATGTAAAATGCTAGTTATGATCCCCAATATGAGTAATAACTCAGTAAGTGTTCACTATTATTAAGACTAAGATATAGGCCAGACAGGTTGGCTCAGGCCTCTAATCCCAGCACTTTGGGAGGCCAAGGTAGGAAGATAACTTGAGGCCAAGAGTTTGACACTAGTCTGGGCAACATAGAGACACCCTGTCTCAGAAAAAAAAAAAAGAGAAAAACAATTCCCATTATACAATATTTCATGGTATAACATGAAAAACTAGATGTTACAGGGAATTTAACAATGCATGTTAGATTGTTTAATTAATAAACTTAAAAAGTAGGCACTCTTGATCTGCAGGTATTAGATGGGCTTCAAGGAGTCTACAATATTTTATCAGACTTTCAAAGGGGGTTTTTGGACACAGAATATGCTAAGAACCACTGCCTTAAAGAAAATGATTAATTTTAGTCACCTAGAAAGTAAATTATTTCAGCACTGTAATTCAATATTTAATGGTTATAATTCAATTATTTAGCTTGTTATTAATAAATACCTCTTGGAGTGGCTACCCAGCTAACAGTGATTCATTCTTCTCTGGGAAAAACTGTATATACAGGGGAAAGATGCACATCTAAGATTTTTTTAACATACTTCCTTGGTTATAGTGATTGATCTACAGGTTGACATGGCATCTAGGCTATTCGATCATATTCTTTCCTCCAGAAATTTGAAACAAATAGACTACTTTGGGATCAAACTTATAAATTAATAATGGAGAGTGACTGAGAAACACATAGCCACAACGTTTAGAACTGAAAGGTACTGAAAAGATTATTCTCCACCATTTTCCATTCTTCTCAACTGGACCCAATTCAAATCCTTAATATGAACCAGTAATTGACATCACTAGCTAGTATCCCAAGACTGTGTGTCCCTACAAGGATGAAATTCTCATTATCATATGAAGAGTTTTATAAGAACCAGTATGTGTATGCAAGCAAATGAATTTAACAGCTTCTGTTTGATTTTATTCAAAACAATACTTTCAGATGGGAAAATACCTTAAAGCCACATTTTAAAGTCATACAAGAGAAGATGTTTTCAGAAAAACTTGCCCAAATCTGACAGACTGCCAAGTACTTTGGCTTGGATCACTAAGTTATTATCTGTAACTAATTAAATCCTTTCACAGCCCATGGGCCTCATCATGCAACCATAAAGATCCCTTCAATCAAAACTAAGAAACAGATCAAGGCTTTTCTACAGAAACTCCTATTTCCTCATTTTCTCTTTTAATCACCTACACTCCTGTCACTCCAGGTGTACCTCTTTTAATACAACACTTCATTATTTGAGGTACTTGATTATCTCCAGGCTCACAATGTGAATTAGTTAAGGGATTTTCAAATTTTTTTACATAACCTAAGGCAAGAAATACACTATACATAACAATTTCGTAAGGATACAAAAAAAAGGTGCAAAATTTCATGAAGCAGTATTTTAATCGTCTGATATGTTCTATTACAGTCTTTTAAAATAGTGATCGGCCAGGCGCAGTAGCTCACGCCTGTAATCTCAGCACTTCGGAAGGCCAAGGTGGGTGGATCATCTGAGGTCAGCAATTCGAGACCAGCCTGTCCAACACGCGAAACCCCGTCTCCACTAAAAATACCAAACATTAGCCAGATGTGGTGGCAGGCGCCTGTAATCCCAGCTACTTGGGAGGCTGAGGCAGAAGAATCATTTGAGCTTGGAAAGCAGAGGTTGCAGTGAGCTGAGATCACACCACCACACTCCAGCCTAGGCGACAGGGTGAAACTCTGTCTCAAAAAATAAAATAGTGATCATAACTAAAATGATTTCACAAGCCAAGGTATGAACTAAAGTTTAAAACAATAAGTAAGTATAGGCCGGGCGTCGTGGCTCACACTTGGAATCCCAGCAATTCGGGAGGCCAAAGCCAGGTGGATCACTTTAGCTCAGGAGTTTCAGGCAAGCCTGGGCAACATAGTGAGACCTTGTCTCTACAAAAAATTTTTAAATTAGCTAGGCACGGTGGCACACGCCTGTAGCTACCTGGGAGACTGAGGTAGGAAGATCCCTCAAGCCCGGGAGATTGAGGCTGCAGAGCTGTGATCGTGCCACTGTACTCCAGCCTTGGTGACAGAGTGAGATCCTGTCTGGGAAAAAAAAACAAAAAAACAAAAAAAACACACAAGTATAATACATCTTGACCAAGTGTTTATTCTAGAAATGAGGGCTGGTTTAAAACCAAAAACCAACTAATGCAATTCACCACATTAAAAGTAAAATCTAGGCCAGGCGAGGTGGCTCACGCCTGTAATCCCAGCACTTTAAGGCAGGCGGATCACCTAAGGTCAGGAGTTCAAGACCAGCCTGGCCAACATGATGAAATCCCATCTCTACTAAAAATACAAAAAAAGTTAGCTGGGTGTGGTGGTGCACACCTGCAATCCCAGTTACTCAGGAGGCTGAGGCAGGGGAATCACTCGAACCCAGGAGGCAGAGGTTGCAGTGAGCCGAGATGGTGCCAATGTACTCCAGCCCGGGTGACAGAATGAGACTGTCTCAAAAAAAAAAAAAAAAGTAAAATCTAGCCAGACACAGTGGCTCACGGCTGTAATCCTGACACTTTGGGAAGCTGACGTGGGAGGATGGCTTGAGCCCAGAAGTAGTGAGACCTCATCTGTACAAAAAATTAAAAGTTAGCTAAGCATAGTGGCAGGGGCCCGTAGTCCAAGTTACTCAGAAGGCTGAGGTGAGAGGACTATTTGAGCCCAGGAGGTGGAGTTGGTGCCTAGATCATACCACCACACTCCAGCCTGGGCAACAGAGCAAGATCCTGTCTCAAAAAAAAAAAAAAAAAAGAAAAGAAAAAAAAAGGTAAAATTACATCATGTTCTCAATAGAGCCCAAAAAAGCATTTTACAAAAGTCAACACCCATTCATGAAAAAATAACTCTCAACAAGACAGGAACAGAAGAGAACTTCCCCAAAACTCTAAAGGACATCTACAAAAACTCTACAGCTAAAATTACGTGTAATGAGAAAAGACTAAAATTGCTTTTCCCCTAAGACAGGGACAAGGCAAGGGTGTTTGCTCTCATCACTTTTTTCCAACAATGTATTGAAGGTTCTAGCCAACACAATAAGGTAAGAAAAATATATAAAAGGCATCTGGTTTTGAAAAGTAGTAAAATTATTTTTTCCCAGATGACATGATCACCTGTGTAGAAAATCATACAGAATTATTAAAGACATTGCCAGAACTAAAAAATGAGTGTAGCAATGTTGCAGGATATAAGGCCAATATAAAAATAAATCAGTTGAAGGGACAGAGGAGCCGTAAGAAAGAATTACCAATAGCCAAAGCTGAAAGAATCTGAGCAACAAAATAAATAAAACAGTACTGGATAATAACACAAACTATAAAACAAAAATACAGAAGTCTACACTAATATAAACATATGATTAAATAAATAAATAACTTGGAGAAAATAGAGAAATCTTCCTGGCAGAAAAGTTCCAAAAAAATTACATAGATATTCTAGTCTCAGGGAGGTGGAGCATAACTCCTCATTCTTTTAGTGAGGGCTGCACATAGTACTTCCTTCCAAAATGTTCAGTAAGAAAATGGGGAAAAGAATAACTTTACAGTGGAGAACTTGGCAAATGCTACATCAGCCAGGTTATCAACGTCAACATCGGCAATAAGACATGTTGATAATATGTACCCCTGATTTGACATAATAAAAAGAGCTCTTAACTAACCTCTGTGGTCTCCTTGCCAAAAACCCCTAATGCCAATCTAATCCTAAGAAAAAGGGTAGACATACACTAGTGACTTCAGAATTACCTGCAGAACTTTTTATTTATTTATTTTGAGGCAGTCTCGTTCTGTCGCCCAGGCTGGAGGGCAGTGGTGTGATCACAGCTCACTGCAGCCTTGAACTCCTGGGCTCAAGTGATCCTCCCCTGCCTCGACCTCCTAAGATCCTCCCCTGCCTCCACCTCCCCTGCCTCCACCTTGACCTCCTCAACATGCCCAGCACCACCACGTCCAGCTCATTTTTAATTTTTTTGTAGAGATGGGGTCTCGCTGTGTTGCCCAGGCTGGTCTCAAACTCCTGGGCTCAAGCAATCCTCCTGCTGTGGCCTCCCAAAGTGCTGGGATTACAGGCATGAGCCACCGCACCTGACCTTTGGGGTGCTTTTTAAAACTACTCCATTTCAAGCCCATTCCCAGAGATTCTGGTGCTCTTGATATGGAGCAGGGCCTAGAAATCTCCATTTTAGGAAGTTATCTGGGGGACTCATTTATATGCATCAGATTTAAAATCACAGATTTATCGTGGAGGAGATACAAAGAATGCCTTTTTTATACTACTCTTATCAATCCTGGACTTATGTGTATCGATTTTATAGAGCAACCAAAGATATCTTGACACAGTTGAAATTGGCATTTCTCTTGGTCCCAGAAAAAAAAATGAGTAATTTTATATAAATTTTTGTATTTTTTTTAAAGGAAAACAGCAGACAAACCCCAATTGAAGGACACTGTACAAAACACGTGGCCAGGTCTCCTCAAAACTTTCAAGGTTGGCTGGGCACGGTGGCTTATGCCTCTCCAAAAAAATAAAATATTAGCCAGGTGTAGTGGTGCATGCCTGTAGTTCTAGCTACTCAGGAGGCTGAGGCAGGAGGACTGCTTAAGCCCAGGAGGTTGAGGCTGCAGTGAGTCATAATCACACTACTGCACTCCAGTCTGGGAGAGTGAGTGAGACCGTCTCAAAACAAAACAAAACAAAACAAAACAAAAAACTCTCAAGGTCTTCAAAAACAAGGAACGTCTGAGAAATGGGCACAACCAAGAGGAGCCTAAAAAGACATGATGACTAAATGTAATATATTTGGAATGGGACCATGGAATAGAAAAAGGACATTGGGTAAAAGAAATACTAAGGAAATTTGAACAGAGTATGGCCTATAATAATTATCAACATTAGTTAATTGTGATGAACCATATGAATGTAAAATGCTAATAGTAAGAGAGACTAAATGTTGGGTATGAGAATTCTGCATTATCTTCACAACCTTTCTATAAATCCATAACTATTCTAAGATTAAAAGCTTATTTTTAAAAAATCAGAGCTGATTATGGAAAGTTTATTCATTTTATTGTATGTAAATTTCACTCAATAAAAATTATAATAAAGAAATCAGCTGGGTGTTGCGGTTCATGCCTGTAACTCCAGCACTGTGGGAGGCCAAGGCGAGCAGATCACAACGTCAGGAGTTCAAAGACCAGCCTGGCCAACATGGTAAAACTCTGTCTTTACTAAAAATACAAAAATTAGCTGGGCTTAGTGGCATGCACCTGTAGTCCCAGCTACTCGGGAGGCTGAGGCAGGAGAATTGCTTGAACTCAGGAGGCGGAGGTTGCAGTGAGCCGAGATCGCGCCACTGCACTCCAGCCTGGGCGACAGAGCCAGACTCTGTCTCAAAAATGAAATAAAATAAAAAAATAAATAAATAAATTATGTTTCTATATGTAGCAACAATCAGAAACTGAATATTTTAAACTACCATTAACATTAGCATAAGAAATATGAAATTTTTAGGGATAAATTTGTCAAAAGGTGTGCAAGACCTAGAAACTGAAAACTACAAAATACTGTTGCAAGAAATTGAAGAAGATCTAAATAAATGAAGAAATAAAACATATTAGTGGATTAAACTCAATACTGTTAAAATGTCATCAATTCTCTCAAAAAGACTTACAGATTCAAGGCAACCCTAAGCAAAACCCAAGCAGGCTTCTTTTTTGAGAGAAATGACATACTGATTCTAAAATTTTCATGAAAATGTAGAAGACCTAGAATATCCAAAATAACTCTGAAAAAGATGAACAAAGTTGGAAACATTATACTGCCAATTTCAAGACTTATCTAAAAGCTACAGTAATCGAGGCAGTCTGATAATGGTGGGTGTAAATAAATAATAAATGCAACAAAATACAGAGTCCAGAAAAAGACCCAAATTCATGGTTAGCTAATTTCCAACAAAGGTGCAAAAACAAGTCAATGAAAATAATATTTTTAAGAAGTGGTACCAGAATGATGTTACAGCCATATGCAAAAAAAACAAAAAACAAAAAAATCCTTGACCTTTACCTCACCCCATAAACAAAAATTAACTCTAAATTATCACAGACCTAAATCTAAGAACTACAACTTAAAAACTCCTGAAGAAAATATTAGTAACCTTGAGTTTGGTAGATTTAACGCAACAAAAAATGCACAAATCATAGGAGAAAAAAATAAGTTAGTGGATCAAAATTAAAACCTCTGCCCTTTGAAAGACACTGTAACTACAGGGCAACCATAGACTGGGAAAAAATATTTCCAAAGCATATATTTGAAAAAAGACTTGTACCTACAATTTTTTTTAAATTCTTACAACTTGAAAGTAAGACAATTCACTAACAGGCAAAAGGCCTGGGCGTGGTGCCTCACGCCTGTAATCCCAGCACTTCGGGAGGCCTAGGCGGGCGGATCACCTGAGATAAGGAGTTTGAGACCAGCATGGCCAAAATGGCAAAACCTCATTTCTACTAAAAATACAAAAATTAGCTGAGCGTGAGACAGGCGCCTGTAATCCCAGCTACTCGGGAGGCTGAGGCAGAATTGCTTGAACCTAGGAGGTGGAGGTTTCAGTGAGCCAAGATCGCACCACTGCACTCCAACCTGGGTGACAGAGCAAGATTCCATCTCAAAAAAGAAAAAAATAAAAATAAAAAATAAAATAGGCAAAAGATTTAAAGGGACCTTGGAACCAAAGAAGACACAGATGGCAGATAGGCACTTGAAAAGATGCCCAACATTAGTCATTAGAAAACTGCAAATTAAAAACCACAGTAAGATACCACTACTTATCCACTAAAATAGCTAAAATTAAAAAGGCTAACTATACTGAGTATTGGTGAAGATATGGAGCAACTGGAACTCTCATATACGTATTTGTGAGAATGTAAAATGAACAAGTTGAAACCACTTTGGAAAGCTGTTTGGAATTTGTTTTTAAAGTGATGCATATACCTAGCATATACCTAACCATTCTACTACTAAGAATTTACTTAAAAGGAATGAAAAGCTTAGGACCTTCATATGAAAACATAGCACATACAATTATGTAAGAGAGAGAGAGAGAGAGAGAAAGGCCTATGTCCTCACGAAGATTTATACACGAATGTTCATAATAGCTTTATTTCTAATAGCTGACAAACGGACACAACCCAAATATCTATCAAAAGGTAAACGGATAAATTGTGGTATATCCACAATAGAATAATCAGCAATAAGAATGTACACATACGATAAAATAGATTAATTGCAAGATAATAATGCTGAGTGAAAGAAGCCAGGAAAAAATGCATATTTATATAAAAATCTAGAAAATGCAAACTAGGCCGGGCACAGTGGCACACGCCTGTAATCCCAGCACTTTGGGAGGTCGAGGTGGGCGGATCACCTGAGGTCAGGAGTTTGAGACCAGCCTGACCAACATGGAGGAACCCTGCCTCTACTAAAAATACAGAATTTTTAGTGGGGTGTGGTAGCACATGCCTGTAATCCCAGCTACTCGGGAGGGTGAGGCAGGAAAATTACTTGAACCTGGGAGGTGGAGGTTGCAGTGAGCTGAGATAGTGCCACTGCATTCCAGCCTGGGCAACAAGAGTGAAACTCCATCTCATGGAAAAAAAAAAAAAAAAAAACAGAAAATGCAAACTAACCTAAGTGATATAAAGTAGATCAGTGGTTGCCCAGGAATGAGGCAGAAGGAGAGAGAGGATTACAAAGGAGCATGAGGAAACTTTTGAGGGTGGTGAATATTCATTTTCTTAATTATGGTAATGGTATTATGATTACATATATGTTAAAATTTCATCAGGCCAGGCATGGTGGCTCAAGCTTGTAATCCCAACACTTTGGGAGGCCAAGGAGGGCGGATCACCTGAGGTCGGGAGTTTGAGACCAGTCTGACCAACATGGTGAAACCCTGTCTCTACTAAAAGTACAAAATTAGCGGGCGTGGTGGCGCCCGCCTATAAGCCCAGCTACTTGGGAAGCTGAGGCAGGAGAATTGCTTGAACCCAGAAGGCGGAGGCTGCGGTGAGCTGAGATCGTGCCACTGCACTCCAGCCTGGGCAACAAGAGCGAAAGTCCGTCTCAAGAAAAAAAAGTCATCAAATTGTACACCTTAAATATGTGCAGTGTATTGCCTATAAATCAGTTATATTTTAATAAAGCTGTTCAAATAAGATATATACATACTATATATATACACACACATATATGTGTATATATAAATATCTTAAAAAATAATGAATTTAGCCAGGCATGGTGGTGCCTGCTTGTAATCCCAGATACTCAGGAGGCTAAGGTGGGATTACTTAAGCCCAGGAGTTCCAGACCAGCCTGAGCAACACAGTGAGACTCCATCTCAAATAATAAAATAAAATAAATGAACTTGTTAACTATTAATAAAATACAATGGAATAAAAATATATAAGGTATTAGAACCATGGCCTTTTGAAAACCACCCCATTGCATCTGCCATCCAATGGAGATATTAGAAGCAATTTTAAGCTTAAAAAAGTGGAGCCATAGGCAGTCCTCATACTACAAAGAATATCAAATAATTTAATCCAACCTCCTCATTTTATAGTAGAGAATATGAAGCCTAGAGAGGTTAAGTCAAATGCTGAAGGTCACACTAAAGTAGAGCCCAGACTATAATCAAACCTGTACAATTTTAGTTTAAGAGGTATTTTAGGATCAGTTACCATTCCATTATCATACTGATAAATTTTCAGTTCAACCATATTTACTGAGCATTTACTAGGCATTGTAGCAATATATGGCAACTCTTACCCTCAAGGAGCTTTCAGTGTAAATTTGTAAGACTTAGCATATATTCCAGGCATAAACATTTTCTTTTTTCATAAATTCTGCCTTTGTAGCTCCTAAGAAAACTAATGGTGTGTCTGTGATCCAATAAAACTTTGTTTCCAAAAACAGGCAGTGAGCCAAAGCAGGCCCTTGAGCCATAGTTTGCTCCCTGCTTTACACAAATCCCACATGTCCCATCCCTGCTGAAAACTCTTCAAGAACCCTCTTCTCTACTACATTTTGGATAAACCCCAAACTCCCCAAAAGCCCTTGCACCATCTCCCTTAGGATCCCTTGCCTTCTCTCCGTCTGTTCCTAGAGAAGGCCAAACTTTCTCCCCTGAGAACAGTTGGACATGCAGCTCCCTGTGCCTGGCATGCTTTTCACCCTCTCATCCTTCTCATCTCTTAGGTTTACCCTAATTCATCACCCCTTCAGAGCAGCTTCTCTCCTCTCTCCTCCCATCCCATGCTCTGCTCGCTTCATCCACTTTGATCTTCCTGGTCTATTAGAATTTGCAATTACTTGCCTTCTTACATGTTTGCCTCTCCCCAACTAGAAGATCAGCTCCAAGAGAGCAGGGATCTTGTCCTCAGTCCCTAGCAGAGTGTCTGAGAGATTAAAGGTATTGTACATTCAACAAATATTAACTGAGGACCTACTATGTGGCAGACACCAATCTGGGTGCTTGGGATGTATGAGAGAACAGACAGACAAAGATCTTTGCCCTATAGGGCTTACTATAGTCAGGGCAGACAGAGCCAAAAACAATTTAAAAAAATGGTATTTTAGAAGGAACTGAGTGTTGTAGTGTATAGGGAAACTCTCTAACGATGTTTTTCCTCTGCTCACACAACAATAATCATCAACACAGAAAAATTCTGTGACCGTGTGCGTGGAGTTTTCTCCCCCACACACCAAGCAGTGGACACCAGCTGTGTGCCCTCTAATTCAGTTCAGACACTGTCTATCTGGAGATGGTATCAGATCCCAAATCCCACAGGCTGAGGGCTCAGTCCCAAGACTGCCCTCCGTCACCCCAGTCCTTGCCCACCAAACCCATTGCAAGTCTGGGCCTCCAGAACTTCTGACGGACAGGCTCTTTGAGTTTGATTAACGTCAAGGCATAAATTTTTTAAACTAAAACCTAAAATATTAATGGAACAAGAATCAAAGTATGCTCCCAATGGTTTAAACTGCCTTTTTTTTTTTAAATGCATTCTCAATTTACACAGAGTTTGTCTGGCTTGGTTATTTTTGTAATTATGCGTGTAATGAAAAAAAATCAATCTCATATAACCAGTTTTTCCAAATAAACATTTAAAGAATGAAAGAATGCAAACTGGCAGCCTGTGAGCTGTCTGCCCACAGATACTATTTGGCCCACACAGTGTTTTTAAAAATCTCAATTTGTTGTTAACCTTTAAAATAGGATAGGCATTGTGGCTCATGCCTGTACCCACAACACTTTGGAAGGCCGAAGACAGAAAGACTGCTTGAAGCTAGGAGTTCAAGATCAGCCTGGGAAACATAGCAAGACCCCATCTCTACGAGAATTTTTTTTTTTTTTTTAATTAGCCAAGCATGGTGGTGCATGCCTGTAGACCTAGCTACTTCAGAGGCTGAGACAGGAGGATCACTTGAGCCAAGAAGTTTGAGGCTGCATTTAAGTGTGCACTATGATAACACCATGCACTCCAGTCTGGGAGAGAGAGTGAGACCTTGTCTCTCAAATAAATAAATAAAAACCATTAAAAATGGGTAGACCTAGGCAGGGCACAGTGGCTCACGCCTGTAATCCCAGCACTAAGGGAGGCTGAGGCAAGGAGGACTGCTTGACACCAGGAGTTTGAGACCAGCCTGGGCAACACAGAGATCCTGTCTCTACAAAATATTAAAAAAAATAAAAATTAGCTAGGCATGGTGGCTCACGCCTGTGATCCCAGCACTCTGGGAGGCTGAGGAGGGTAGATCACGAGCTCAGGAGTTCGAGACCAGCCTGACCAACATTGTGAAACCCCATCTCTACTAAAAACACAAAAAAATTAGCTGGGCGTGATGGCACGCGCCTGTAATCCCAGCTATTCAAGGAGGCTAACACAGGAGAATCACTTTAACCCAGGAGGCAGAGGTTGCAGTGAGCCAAGATTGCTCCACTGCACTCTAGCCTGAGAAACAGAGTGAGACTCCATCTCAAAAAATAATAATAATAAAAATAAAAATTAGCTGGGCATGGTGGCACACACCTGTAGTCCTAGCCACTTGGAAGGCTGAGGCAGAAGGATCGTTTGATCCCAGGAGTTAAAAGTTGCATTGAGTTATGATCACACCACTATACTCCCACCTGGGTGACAGAGTGAGACCCTGCCTTAAAAAAAAAAAATTTTATATATATATATATATATATATATATATATATATATATATATTTATATTTATTTATTAAGGTCCATATATATATATATATGGGTAGACCTTACATTAAAATCTGGGCATTGAGGCCGGGCACAGTGGCTCACGCCTGTAATCCCAGCACTCTGGGAGGCCGAGATGGGCGGATCATCCGAGGTCAGGAGTTCCAGATAAGCCCGGCCAACATGGTGAAACCCCGTCTCTACTAAAAATACAAAAATTAGCCAGACATGGAGGCACACGCCTGTAATTCCAGCTACTCAGGGAGGCTGAAGCAGGAGAATCGCTAGAACCCGGGAGGCAGAGGCTACAGTGAGCCAAGATTGCGCCACTGCACTCCAGCCTGGGTGACAGAGCGACCGGTTTCCATCTCAAAAAAAAAAAAAAAAAAAAATCTGGGCATCAGGCTGGGTATGGTGGCTAACGACTACAATCTCAACACTTTGGGAGGCCCAAGGCAGGAGGATTACCTGAGGGCAAGAGTTTGAGACCAGTCTGGGAAACATAGGGAGACCCCATCTCTAGAAAAAATAAAACATTAGCCGAGCATGGTGGTGTACCTGTGGTCTCAACTACTTGGGAGGGTAAGGCAGAAGGATCACTTACGCCTGGGAGGTCAAGGCTGCAGTGAGCTGTGATCACGCCATAGCACTCCAGCATGGGCAACAGAGTGAGGGGAGCAGGGCAGGGCAGAAAATATGGGCATCCAGATTTTATTGAAATATCAGAAGATCTGACACAACTAGACATATATCCTTCATAGCAAAAACTGAGTGCCTACTATTTGCCAGTCACTCATTAGGCTCTTGGGAAATTTAAACAAATAAGAAATAGTTACTGTTTTTCAAGAACTTCACATTTTATTATTAGAAGCAAGCATATAAATAAATCATTGCAATATGTTATGATCTTACTATGTGCTGGGTACTATGTGATAGGTCATACAATAAAAATGGCAACAGGATAAAATGGAATCACAAGGAAAAGGGTGATGATCAATTCTCTTAACAGTAAAGTAGATATCCAGGTGCAGTGGCTCACGCCTGTAATCCCAACACTTTGGGAGGCTGAGGTGGGAGGATGACTTGAGCCCAGGGGTTTGAGAACAGCCTGGGCAAAAGAGTAAGGCTATCTATTAAAATAAAGAAAATAGTAAAGAAGACTTTGGGAAGGCTTCATAAAAGTAGGCAGCACTCAAGCTACGTTTTTAAACAGTAAGTTTTTGTCAAGTGAATAAGGCAGAGAGAAGGACATTTCAGAGGCGGCAGCAGCAGCACGTTCAAGATTACAGGGTCACACAGTAGACACAGATGTAAGATAAGGCCTCAGGTAGTTTGGAAAGAAACAATATTCCTTGAGAAGCCAACTGAAGCCAGATCATGAAGGACTCTTGTTTTCCAAGCCAACGAATATGGGTTTTAACCTACACATCAATGTTTTTCCCACAGTGCCCCTAAGAAGACTGCTCATGGTTCAACTCAAGTGAGAGGAGAAAAAAAAAAAGAAAGAATATGCCAAAGGAACCACCACCACCCACCATCCAATTACTGACTCAACTAGAGGAGCTCTACTTTTGTCTACTTTATGTAGTAAAGTTCTCTTTTAAAATCTCTTTGGGCACAAAAATTCTACTGTTATAAACAAAATTTTTTATTAAAAAAAAAGCTTAAACAGGAGCCATTAAAAGATTTTTAGCAAGAAATTAAATGTTAAGATTAGCATTTTGGAAACATCTTTCTCTTAACAGCGCCAAGGATGGAATACAGAAGTATGAGACCCAAAGGAGATGAAAATACTCAGTGTTTAGTTGCAACAACTGATGCAATAAATAATTAATGAAATCTGGTGATGAGAGATATTCAAATCTTACTGATATCTACTTTATTCCAAGCAGCCTGCTATGTCCTAGGTTTAGGATAAAGAAGATAAGTTCAATAGTTATTTCAATATAAAGTAATCATGACTGATTAAAACAGGAAGGTAAAGAAGAAAAAGGAATGAATCTTGGTAGGTGATTTGAATAAACACATGGATAGCTGTGGTTAAAACTTGGAATACAATCATAACACTTCACCTTGAATAAGCTAAGCATAAACCAGGCCAAAAAAAAAAAAAGATATGTTTTAAGGAGGTATAATCTAGAAAAAACAAAGGGCTACACTTGTGATTATACTTCACGAGCAAGCGTCTCAGAGGATTTGCTAGAGGTATACACAAAATCAGAACCATCCTTGAAAGCCATTTTAAACAATAAAAGACCTTAACTATTAATATACTAAAGTGAATCTCAAAGGTTTCCACCTGAGGTTAAAGCTTGGCACCTTTCCCTTGGCAATTCTGTTTGAGATCCAGGTTCCCAAATGAAAGCATGGAATCAATGCAGGCAAGAACGTAAAACAATATTTAGGCCACTAGGCCTATACAATTGCTTTAGCATATAGCCAATAAGTTTCTCATTTGTCCATTACTCTTAGGTAAGTATGTAATAAGTTGCACAATTCTACTTGTGGCATTTAATTAACAATTTATTACAAGACTTTTGGAAGTTCAAAGTATTTATGTGGATAAATTTCCCAAGAATTAGAAGTATTCAGTGATATGAGTTTCTAGGTTTTTCATTGAGTCCTAAATTGAAAGAAATTCAGCACCATTTCCAATAACCTGGTTTTATAACATAATTGCTTTCCCTGATAATGAAATTTTTAAAAAGACAGGAGAGGGTAGAAGAGAATGCTGTAAAACCCTTAAATTCTTCAAAAATGAATCCTGGCAGAGCATGCTGGTGCATACCTGTAATCCTAGCACTTTGGGAGGCCTAGGTGGGGGGACTGCTTGAGCCCAGGAGCTCTGAGACCAGCCTGGGCAACATAGTGAGACTTCATCTCTATAAAAATTTAAAAACTCAGCCAGGCATGGGGTACATGCCTGTAGTCCCAGCTACTCTGGTGGCTGAAGCAGGAGGATAACTGGGGACCAGGAGTTTGAGGTTATAATGAGCTGTGACTGCACTACTGCACTCTAGCCTGGGCAACAGAGCAACACCTTTTCCCCCCACCACCCCTACCACTTCAAAAAACAAAAAAAGAATCCCATTTGCACTGCTGTTTGTGAGACTTATTTCAATCTCTTTGATAAAGATAACTATCATTAAATACACAAAATAAATTCTTAAATCCCTCAATGATGAATGAATTATTCAAAACAGCCTCTTTATCAAAGGAGACTTTGTACCTCACTAATTACATTAGACTAAGAAGCCTTACCCATTCATTTAAAAGTAGATCAAATGCTAACTACTATTTCCAAACAGCTGGCAGGAAGTTACAAAACTCTCTTGCAACATCAGGAAGAGATGGTTATAACTTTAAGTATGTTGCCAAACCTTATCTATTAGAAAAGACACTGACTACAGGGCGAGACTCAGTCTCAAAAAAAAGAAAGAGAAGACACTCAGAGAGGAATTACATGAGCCTCTAGCTACATAGTAAAGAAAATGAAATAGGTATCTGACTAAAACAGTAAGAAAATATTCTCAAAGTATCTTTATGCAGGGCATATTAAGTGCTTGCATTTATAGAATGAAAAAAAAAAAAAAGCATGGGGAATAGAAGTATTACCTGAGGGCAGGAAATTCAGAAAAAGGTCCCTATTCCTGGTGAAAGCAAGCAGTCAGTTGCCAGGGTTTCTTAGACTCCTCTGGTACTCATTTGGGTGATTATGCAATTCACAGCACACCAATCTCCACCACAGCCAGCAGGGAACGCTGCAGGGAATGGGTACACAGGGGACACAGAAGGGAGCAAGTTTAAGGGAAGGAAGAGGAAAGGAATGATGATTAAAAAAATTTAGCTGTGGTGCCCTTTGGAAAAAAAAAACAGTTGCATTTCACACTGGATTCACTAAAGGCAAACTGCCTAAATTCTAAGATGAATTAACCATTTAAGATTTTCTTCATTTTCTCTGTCACTGTTACTACTACTCCCCAATTACATTCACATTATCTTTTTAATTTTATATTAAACTGTCAATTAACAAAAATGAGATACTATGTCATAGAAGTTATACAAAAGCTGAACTGTATAATTTACATTAAATGAAATCAATTAAGATAAGCAATCTACAAAGCAAGCAGTCTACACATACAGATTATCAAACTGGTTTAAGTGACAAAACCCCCACTTTTAACTGTAATTCTCATTTCACCGAGAATACTGAGGCATAAAGCTAGCCATAAAAAACAATCCACAAACCAAAGAGATATCCAGCAATAGGCCATATCTATATACTCAAAAATAAATTGGAAAACTATAGTATTCATAGTGGGGGGAGAAAAGCTTTTAATCTAAATTTTCCGGATATGATTCAACTAGTTAAACCTGCCAAAAATGTATTCAGAGCAACCAATTTATGTTCTATGTATTCTATGGAGGCCAAAGTAGTACAAATTTATTTCTCCAGTCAGTTAAAAATGTTTTTGAACAACTACTATGTACTGCAGTCCTGTGGCGGATGCTAAAGATACAACGGTGAACAAGACAAGCAAAGTCCCTGGCTTCTAAAACATTGCCAGGGCGATTCTGCCCTTAAAGAGATGACTATCCACACAATTAACAAAAAACAAGGCATTTGTTTTAATAAAACAAACAGGATATGCTTTAAGACCTAAAGGAGTTTTAAAATGGAGGAGGCCAATGATTAGCCTCATTAAAGCTGCCCATGGAAAATGTACTACTAAAATAAAGCTGAGAGAAGAAGGCCTATTATGAAGAGATACAGACAATCTGGCTGCAGGAATAAGACAACAAAACATGGGTGGAAAAAAAGGAGAAAACTGTAATATTGGAAATTAAAATTGCAGCCAAATTTGGAGGACCTAAAAAATTACCCTTAACTTCTCTGGATATTTGCCTTAAATATTTCCTTTGTATACACGCTCTAGTCCAGGAAAATAGATTTAATAACTATTTTATTACTCTCAAGCTGTCATTTATGTCCTTTTTCTTCCCCCCCTTGGGATGGAGTCTAACTCTGTTGCCCAGGCTAGAGTGCAGTGTGGCACGATCTCGGTTCACTGAAGCCTCCACTTCCTGGTTCAAGTGATTCTCCTGCCTCAGCCTCCTGAGTATCTGGGATTACAGGCATGCGCCACTACACCCAGCTAATTGTTTTGTATTTTTAGCAGAAACGGGGTTTCACCATGTTGGCCAGGCTGGTCTTGAACTCCTGACCTCAAGTGATGCGCCCGCCTTGGCCTCCCAAAGTGCTAGGATTACAGGTGTGACCCACCACACCCGGCCTCATTTCATTATTTCTTTACAAGCTTTTCTGACATTCAGACCACCTCTGTTTCACCGTCTCTCTGTTAAGGTTGCATAGCGTTTTGCTTGTGACTCTCTCATAAGATTCATTATCTTGAATTCTATTTATTCACTCATCTACCAGACTGTTTCCAGAAGACATTCCTATATCTTAATTTTATTTGTATATTTTACAGAACCTTCCTTAAGTACTGGTAGGAATGAACAATCTACCAAAAGAGATAATCAAAATCATACTCAGTAATACCTATATTCTTTAAAAATAAGATAAATCTTACATTTTATGGATGCCCCTCTTTATAGTGCATTTCAGTTATATATAAAGTTGCAGCACAGCAAAAGTAACAAGTTGGGGCTGGGCGCGGTGGCTCATGCCTGTAATCCCAGCACTTTGGGAGGCCAAGGCAGGCGGATCACCTGAGGTCAGGAGTTTGAGACCAGCCTGGTCAAAATGGTGAAACCCTGTCTCTACTAAAACCAAACAAACAAAAATACTGGCTGGGCATGGTGGCAAGCACCTGTAATCCCAGCTACTTGAGAGGCTGAGGCAGGAGAATCATTTTAACCCAGGGGGTGGAGGTTGCAGTGAGCTGAGATCGCTCCATGCCTGGGCAACAAGAATGAAACTCTATCTCAAAAAAATACATACATACATACATACATACATACATATATATATATAGAGAGAGAGAGAGAGGGAGGGAGAGAGAGAGAGAGAGAGAGAGAGAGAGAGAGAGAGAGAGAGAGAGAGAGAAAGAGTTTTTTGCCATATCTTAAAATCACTGAATTTTCTGGTATCATGAAGTTTATTCCCAAATACAAGAGTTTGAGGTTAGCCTGGGCAACATGGCAAAATCCCATCTCTACCAAAAATACAATAATTCACCAGGCAAGGTGGTGCACACCTGTGGTCCCCACTACTCAGGAGGCTGAAGTGGGAGGATTGCTAGAGCCTGGGAAGTTGAGGCTGCAGTGAGCTGTAATCATGCCACTGCACTCCAGCCTGGGTGACAGAGCAAGACCCTGTCTCAAAAAAAAAAAAAATTAATTAATTTAAAGTTTTAAAATATATATATTTTTAATTTATTTAAAAAATTTTTTAAAGATTTACAAATAGACAACAGTAAAGGAAAACATTTGATGCTATACTGGTAGTGGTAAAAAGAAGCCAGATCTCTTTCTTAGTAGTATTTTTGGGTAGAAAAATAGTAAATATGCATAAAGTTCAAATTCAACCTAGTTTATGACTAATATGGAAATTCAAAGTTTATACACAACATTCATCTTGGCTGGGAATAATCTTAAAATAAGTCAATAAACTGTCAATCAAACTATTAGTGAATATAATGTCTGAAAAACCAAACAATAAATTATATCCTGAATCACACTGGCTTCAATTTTATTTGAATAACTTGATTTTAATATAACTACTCGATTTTCACTTATGAAAATAACCAAAAGTCTTTTACTTGTAACTTACATTCAAACTAAACTCCAGCCACTAATACCCACTGTTTTGTTTTGTTTTTGAGGTGGAGTCTCACTGTTGCCCAGGCTGGAGTCCAGGGGCACAATCTCAGCTCACTGCAACCTCCGCCTCCTGGGCTCAAGCAATTCTCCTGCCTCAGCCTCTTGAGTAGCTGGGACTACAGGCATGCGCCACCATGCCCGGCTAATTTTTTGTATTTTTAAGTAGAGATGGGGTTTCACCATATTGGCCAGGCTGGTCTCGAACTCCTGACCTCAGGTGATCTACCCGCCTTGGCCTCCCAAAGTGCTGGGATTACAGGCGTGAACCACCGTGCCCAGCCACACCCACTGTTAAAAAAATTATTTGTCCTAAGCATACAATATGCAGAATTTAAAACACATGTAATTGATAAGAGATCAACTTATTTAAAAAGTGTTTAAACTGCAGTACTAAAGCAAAGTGTAATACTGCAAAAAAGGAAAATTATTCAAAAAAAGAAAAGAAAAAAAGACATTATGTTTTCCCGCTAGAGTCTCAATATGGTTTATTTGTCCCCACCAAAATTCATGTTGAAATCTGATCCCGAATGTGACAGTGTTGGGAGGTGGCGCCTAGTAGGTAGGAAGTGTTTGGGTCATGGGGGCAGATTCTTCATAAATGGCTTGGTATTGTTCTTGCAGTAGTAAGTTCTCACAGAAAATAAAGTAGTTCTCACGTGCGTAGGTTGTTATAAAGCCAAGACATCCCTCAGGCTCTGCCCTCTTTAAGTGTCCACTTCCCCTTACCTTCTCCACTATGTTGTCATGCAGCATAAAAGCCCTATCTGGAAGCCAGCACCATGCCCTTGAACTTCTCAGCCAGTAGAACCACGAGCTAAATAAACCTCTTTTCTTTATAAATAAACCTATTTTTTGGCCGGGTGTGGTGACTCACGCCTGTAATCCCAGCACTTTGGGAGGCCAAGGCAGGTGGATCACTTGAGGCCAGGAGTCTTGAGACCAGCCTAGCCAACACGGTGAAACCCCATCTCTACTAAAAATACAAAAATTAGCCAGGCGTGGTGGCACATGACTGTAATCCCAGCTACTCCGGAGGCTGAGGCATAAGAATTGCTTAAGCCTGAGAGGTGGAGGTTACAGTGAGCTGAGATTGTGCCACTATTCTCCAGCCTGAGCAACAGAGTAAACTCTGTCTCAAAAATAAATAAATAGGCCGGGCGTGGTGGCTCACATCTGTAATCCCAGCACTTTCAGAGGCCAAGGCAGGCAGATCACGAGGTCAGGAGATGGAGACCATCCTGGCTAACACGGTGAAACCCTGTCTCTACAAAAATAAAAAAATTTAGCTGGGGGTGGTGGTGGGTGCCTGTAGTCCCAGCTACTCGGGAGGCTGAGGCAGGAGAATGGCATGAACCCGGGAGGCGGAGCTTGCAGTGAGCCGAGATCACACCACTGCACTCCAGCCTGGGTAACAGAGTGAGACTGTGTCTCAAAAAAATAAATAAATAAATAAACAAATAAAACCTGTCTTTTAAAATAAATTACCCAGCCCCATAATCTTTTATAGCAACATAAAATGGCCTGAGACATCCCCCAACTTTCAAGAAATGCTGAGTCAAAACATTATGTTCCTCTAACTTCAAAGGACCGCAGAGTCAAATGATTCTCAAGTCATAAAAGAATCTCCTAAGGGATACTACAGCAGGATGGTAAAACAAGAGTAGTGTTGAAAACTGGGTAAAAAGAAAAGCAAACTGTTGAGGTGGGGTGGGGGCGAGTAGGAAACACCTTAATAGGCAGCACAGAAAAATCAATGAAAAGGGTACTGGATCAGTGACTTTACCATTCAACACTATCTGTGAGACCTTGGACAAGTCACAAATGTCAATGTTTTAATAATTTCCTTCTCTGAGATAGGAACAAATCCCTTCTGATTCCAGGATTCTAGTATGCTAATATTGCAACATCTCCTAGACCAAGCACCCAACAAGAATCAGTATCCGGTTTTAGTTGGAAATTAATATGAAAGAGAAAGACACCTGCTATATACAGTAGTCCTCCCTTACCCAAGATTTCCCTTTCCACGGTCTCAGTTACCTGTGGTACAGTACGATAGCTTGAGAAAGAGAGAGATCACATTCATATAACTTTTATTACAATATACAGATATTGTTACAATTTTTCTATTACATATTAGTTTTTGTTAATCTCTGACCATGACTAATTTATAAATTAAACTTTACCAGAGGGATGTACATAAAGAAAAAAACACAATATACATATCGTTCAGTACTATCTGCAGTTTCAGGCATCCACTGGGGGTCTTGAAGTGTGCTGCCCATGGAGGAGGACTACTGTAGTGCATGTACTTAAAAGGATAAAAAAAAACAACAATAGCAAAAAATCCACCCCTGAAAATTCAACTCACAATTCGCTTCCCAGTAATTGTTTATTGCATAAGCCAAAGGATAACCACAAACATACTTCCATTGTTGTCAGACTAAAACATGTATAGTCTAAATTAGATCACAAATAAAAGAGAAGACATCTCCAATTAAATATCTAACATTTGGGCTGGGCGCAGTGGCTCAGGCCTGTAATCCCAAGCACTTTGGGAAGCTGAGGCAGGTGGATCACTTGAGGTCAGGAGTTTGAGACCAGCCTGGCCAACATGATAAAACCTCATCTCTACTAAAAATAAAAAATGTAAAAAAAAATTAGCCAAACATGGTGGCGGCTGCCTGTAATTCCAGCCACTCGGGAGGCTGAGGCAGGAGAATCACTTGAACCCAGAAGGCAGGGGTTGCAGTGAGCTGAGATTGTGCCACTGCACTCCAGCCTGGGCAACAGAACGAGACTCTGTCTCAAAAAAAAAAAAAAATCGAACTTTCATCCAACTTAACATATCCAAAACAAACTCCTGATCTTCTCCCATAAGCCTGCTCCTCCTGCAGTCTTCTCCAATTTTCCGATTTAGTTAATAGCAATTCCACCTTTTCCATTGCTTATGTTGCTTATGTCAAAAACTCTGGATGGTCACCCATTACTGCTCTCCTCTCTTCTCTATCAATCCACATCTTACCTGTCGGTCAATCCTGCCTTTACCTTCAAAATACACCTAGAACCTGACTATCACTATCTCAACAACTCCACTGCATCTGCCTTCGTTCAATCCAATTTCTCTCTCACCTAAATAGTTAACATCTCTTAATTGGGTTCCTGTTTCTGCCCTTGTGCTTCTATTATTTAATTCCCACATGGCTGCCAGAGTGATCCTTGGCTCAAGGCATTCCAGTGGCTTCCAATCTCAGAGTAAAAGTCAAAGTCACTACAAGGTCCCACATGATCTGGCCCTTGTTTTCTCTTTGATCGCATCTTCCTCTTCTCACTTTACTCTCTCCACCTATATTGGTGGTCTTCGTATGTTTTCAAAATATCAAACAAGTTCCCAGTTCTGGACCCTTTGCATTTGTTCCCACTATCTCTCTCAGGTCTCTTCTCAAATATTGCTTTCTTTTTTTTCTTTCTTTCTTTTTTTTTTGAGACAGGGTCTCACTCTGCAGGCTGGAGTGTAGTGGTGCTATCACAGTTCACTGCAACCTCTGCCTCCTGGGCTCAAGCAATTCTCCCATCTCAGCCTCTCTAGTAGCTGAGACTACAGGTGCGCACCACCACGCTCGGCCAATTTTGGTATTTTTAGTACAGACAGGATTTCACCATGTTGGCCAGGCTGGTCTCAAACTCCTGGCCTGAAGTGATCTGCCCGCCTCAGCCTCCCAAAGTGCTGGGATTACAGGTGAGACACCACACCCGGCCTCAAATATTGCTTTGTCAATTAAGCCTTCCCAATCACCAGATTTAAAATTGCAAACTCCATCCCCAATTTATTGTACTTCTCATCCCCTTTCCCTATGTTACTTTTTCAGTAGCATTTAACACACTGATATACTGTACTTACACAGTATTTCACCTATTTATGTACTTACTATCTGTTTCTGATTAAAACGTAAACTCCACGAGGGCAGGGATCTTTGCCTAGTGTGTTAACTGCTACATCCCCAGCAGTATGGTACAATATTTGGTACAAGGCAGGCACTCATTAAATTATTTTAAATAAGCAACTAGTACATACAGTGTCAAAATCCACATTATTAGAGATTATTTAAAAGTGAATACTGTCAGCCAGGCACGGTGGCTCATGCCTGTAATCCCAGCACTTTGGGAGGCCAAAGTGGGTGGATCACAAGGTCAGGAGTTCGAGAACAGCCTGGCCAACATGGTGAAACCCCGTCTCTACTAAAAATACAAAAATTAGCTGGGTGTGGTGGTGCATGTCTGTAATCCCAGCTACTCAGGAGGCTAGGGCAGGAGTATTGCTTGAACCCAGGAGGCAGAGGTTGCAGTGAGCTGAGATTGCTCCATTGTACTCCAGCCTGGGCAACATAGCGAGACTCTGTCTCAAAAAAAAAAAAAAACACCTCAAACCTACTCAAGTAAATTTATAATCCAAAAAACAATATTTAAATCAGTTTTTTTCCTAGTTGCAAAATCTAACAAATTTCATATAGCAATAAAATTTTTTTTATTTTTTTCTTCCTTTTTCACATCACCCGCAATGCCAGACAAGTAGTCCAATTTAGAAATAGGTTACAGTTAGTGATCCTACTCATGCTTCTTATATTAGAATAGGAATCGCTGAAGCTTCCCACAAACTGAAGCCATGTCTTACTCATCTTTGTATCTCTAATGCCCACTATGTGGCATATATATATATGTGCTCAAAAACGTTAAATACATAAACTCTCAAAAATTATTTACTGAGCTTTACCATAAAAGTTTATGATACAAATATTAGCCTATCAGTAATGATGTGAAGTTAGCATTTGAAAAAATAATGTCTGGCAGACTAAATAAGCTACACTGCATTTCCTTTTAGGAATGGTCAGTACTGGAAAGATTTTAGACCTAGCAGTATTGATCTCCAATTATATGCACCTTAACTTTTCTTCAGCAACTCACTTCTATGGCCATATCAGATAGCTTTTCTTTTCTTTTTTTTCTTTTTTTTTATTTTTTTTGAGATGGAGTTTCGCTCTTGTTGCCCAGGCTGGAGTGCAATGGCCCGATCTCAGCTCACTGCAACTTCCACCTCCCGGGCTCAAGCAATTCTCCTGTCTCAGCCTCCCGAGTAGCTGGGATTACAGGCATGGGCCACCACACCCAGCTAATTTTGCATTTTTAGTAGAGACAGGGTTTCACCGTGTTGGTCAGACTGGTCTCGAACTCCCGACCTCAGGTGATCCACCCGCCTCAGCCTCCCAAAGTGGTAGGATTATAGGCATAAGCCACGGCGCCCAGCCTCAGATAGCTTTTCCTAAACCAGATCTACTTCACTTCTAAAATCTTAAACTTCAATGTGACAGTTTCAGACAAAATCTCCAACCCTTCCAATTATCTCATTCCTTTACTCCATTACTTTTCCACCTAGATAGCATTCCCAATCCTTTGACGGTTCTTTCCTTTTCTCTCCAGGCTATCAGCTACCGCCCTCTCCTCCCCTTCCTTATATATCCTCAATCTAGTGGCCAATCCCATCAACACAAAGTGAGGCACTCTAATCCCTCTCATCACTTTGCCATTCAGGCACCAAATCCTGCATGTGTTTAACCCTTCTGAATGTCCATAATGAATATTCTTTTTTTCTTTTTTGAGACCAGGTTATGAGACTGGCTAATTTTTGTATTTGGGGTAGAGACAGAGTTTTCATCATGTTTCCCAGACTGATCTCAAACTGCTGGGCTCAAGTGATCTGCCTGACTTGGCCTCCCAAAGTGCTTGGATTACAGGCATGAGCCACCACACCTGGCCCCATTTTCTACTTAAGTTACTCAGAGTCCATTTGTAGACTCCGTATTTCCACCCCAGATATTGCTCCTAAACCCTAGACTTCAAAAATAAGACTGCTTTAATGAGCATATCCCTCTTACCTTTATTAGTAGTCACTCCTCACCCCCAGGATAAAGTTCAATTTCCTTAATGTAGCAAATGAGGCCCTTGGAAATCTAATTTAGTGCACTGCCTATTACAGATGACTAATGGAGCAACAAGCCTAACTCAAAATAGCCCTCTCCATTACCATATTTTTGCTGTACAACCCTTTGCCATTGCTAATTGAACCATGGGTAGACAAAACTGGGTCACAAAGGCTTTCTCTCTAGGGGATTCTGAAACCTGACAGGAGAGATCAAAGACTGGGAATTATGGAAGATAGGCCAGCACTCTAAAGCTGTAGCTCCCAACCAGGAGTAATTTTGCCTCCTATGAGACATTTGGCAATGTCTGGAGACATTAAACATCCTACAATGCACAGAACAGCCTTCACAACAAAGAACTATCTATTTCAAAATGCCAATGATGCCAAGGTTAAAAAACCCTGCTGCTACTTTAAGAGGAAGGTCCAAGAACTCTTCCAATGAGATTCTAGGAGCTAGCTGGTTCCTGTTCTTTCCTTGATTTGGTTGTTCAGATATTCTTCTGCTTTCTGTTACATTTCCCTTTTTACTTAAATAGATCAGCTTTCTGATGTTTGCAGGCAAAACAACTTTACTAGCACAGAACCCTAGCTCAATCATACGACACACACCTGTACACTTTAAGCTGGTTTCTCAATCTCGGAACTACTGACATTTGGGCAAATAATTATTTGTTGTGAGGGAATATGCTGTGCAATGTAGAACGTCTAGCAGCATCCCTGGCCTCTATTCACTAGATGGCAGTAGTATTACCCTCCCCTCCAAGTCTTGACAATTAAAAATATCTCCAGACACTGCCAAATGTCACCTCAAGACAAACTGACCCTGGTTGACAACTGCTGCTTTAAACTATACGATGACTCCACCGAGGTGAGGTGAATGTCTGCCCAGTCAACTCCCACTCCCAGGAAACCTTGTGCAGAGCACAGTATGCCCTTAGCCTAAGGGAGCGAAGGAGAAGAGAGTGTCTGTATCCAAAACTTCCCTACCCCTTTTCAGGTCCTGGCTTAATTAAATATACGTCCACTTTGCCGATTTGCAAGCGCCTGTTCACAGGTGTGTACATGTGTATACACATACACATACACACACACACACACACACTAATGTCTTGAGCTGAAAGGTAGCTTCTGCTTTTATTTCCTTTCTCACATTTGTTACGACTTCTCTTTAGAAGTTTCCATTCCCATGTGAAAAACTACTCTCCTAGAAAACCCTCCCAAAATACATTCAGTCCTATTACAGTTTGAAAAATCGGGGCAGTTTCTCCTTCAAAAGCTTTTCCTGTTTCACTCTGGAAAAATGTCACTACTCTAAGCTCCCCCATCCCACCAACACACCTCCTTGTCCTCATTTCAGATTCTTCAAGTAGATAAACTTTTTATTAACAACTGGAGAGATGTTTGGAATACAAACTAACAATTAGGCAAGGAACAAGTATATAGATTTACAGTTCTCAAATAGTTTAGCATTGAGTTAAAGAATCTGTTAATCTCTTAAGAACAATTCCTCTTCCATACTTTCCCAACATACCAGCTTCTCAAGTCCCTTCATCCAGGCAAAGATGGTTTTAATCTTGCAACTGCACTATATTTCAACCTCAAGGCTAAAAATGAGAGCTCTTTCTCATGTTGGTTCACAGTCTTCCTCCTTACTGGCAGAACTCCTCCCCCCATACAATAACTGGGTTATTTCCTTACCGGAAGACCCCTCATATAAACCCCTGTAAGAACTAGGTCATTTTCCTAGTTATTTTCCAGGATCCAAAGGCACCACATTTATTTAATGATTCAATTACTCACTGCCTCCTAAAGCCACAGGGAAACTGGTCATTCCCAAATCTATAAGAATATTGGCAGTAGTCTTGCCTCAGTAAAAAAAAGCAATGTAAGAGAAAGTAAGCTCATTCATGTTATGTATCCACATTCATGCAACAAATAGTTGTTGAGTACCTACTTTATGCCAGCCTCAAGACAAAAATCCCTGCTCTCATAGAGTCTACATTTAAGTGGAGAAAGACAAAAATACATAAAGAAATAAATATGTACGACAGACAAGCATGAGTGCTATGGAGAAAAATAATGCAAGCAAGAGGACTGGCAATATGGGGGCTCACAATTTTAAACTCTGTGGTCAGGAAAGGTCACCTTTGAGAAGGTGCAATGGGTTGCATACACAGGCCTCACATGATGTCTAGTATTAGAAACTAGTATGTTCAACTATTTCCTGGTAAACTATATTCTACTGTATCCCAGACCACTAGGTCAATGTAGTGACATCTTCATTACTGGATATTCTATAAAATTAAACTTGAACCAGGTAATTTCAAAAGTTCATTCCTTCCTGAGTAACTATAATTTATCACAACACCTGCCTTCTTTTGTCAATTACGAGCTGCCTTTAGATTTCTGAATAACTATTTTTCTTAGGAGATGACAGCAATTAGCAGTAAGATTAACTTATTAACCAAAAATAAAAATTTGATACTCTTTAGTCACCTGAGTTAAGGATGTTTTGAAATATGAAATAACTGAAAACTCAAGTGTCCCAAAAACTCATCTCTGAAAAAAAAAAAAATCCTCATCACACTATTTATCACACAGCTATTACAAATCATACAGATTTAGAAACTAACCCTAAGGGCCAGGCACGGTGGCTCACACCTGTAATCCCAGCACTTTGGGAGGCCAAGGCAGGCGGATCACCTGAGGTTGGGAGTTTGAGACCAGCCTAACCACCATGGAAAAACCCTGTCTCTACTAAAAATACAAAATTAGCCAGGCGTGGTGGCGCATGCCTGTAATCCCAGCTACTCGGGAGGCTGAGGCAGGAGAACTGATTGAAGCCAGGAGGCAGAGGCTGCCGTGAGCCGAGATCATGCCATTGCACTCCAGTCTGGGAAACAGAGTGAGACTCTGTCTCAAAAAAAAAAAAAAAAAAAAAAAAAATATATATATATATATATATATATAAAATAAAATAAAAACTAGCCCTAAAGACTCAATTTTCAATATATGGGTGTTTTCTATCTCATGCAGTAAGCCATTACATCTTTGTTCTTAATTTTTTTTATTATACTTTGGTATGCATGCTCTTAATTTTTAAGAGCCCCTCTCAAATGGAGTTCTATAAAAGAATTAAACTCTAATGCACTATCTGTTGATTGAATTAACTTTTCTTCCAAGCATCTAGAGTGGTACTAGCTATGCAGCATCATCCTTGGACGAGTGAGAAAGTAGGCATTCAAATCATTTTCTGCAGATCTGTATTTTCTTGTGGAGCTGGGTATGAGAAAGGCGGGAGGACATAAATTAAAAATAGATAAAACCTTCCAAAATAAGATAGTTCAAGATTGGGCCATATATATAATTTTAAAAGAAACTTTTCAATGAGTGATAACATTAAGAAATACATATTCATGCAGGGCGTGGGGGCTCACACCTGTAATCCCAGCACTCTGGGAGGCCGAGGACCGCGGATCACCTGAGGTTGGGAGTTCAAGACCAGCCTGGCCTGGTGAAACCCAGTCTCTACTAAAAAAATACTACATATATACACATATATATGTGTAGTGTATACACATATATATGTAGTACACATATATATGTATGTGTATATATGTGTATATATGTATATGTATATATGTACATATGTATATATATGTACACACACACACACACGCTGCTATACTTTGCTACTTTTAAGAAAAGTGCTATATCTTATTCAGTATTATAAGTGAGGAAAATATTTGCTGAATCACAGAAGTAGAATTCTGTTCCCAATATATAACCTGTGGTATAAGACAATCTGGGGAATCAAGAATTATGTTTACTATACAAGTCTATAATCATACCCGTGTCTTCCCAAAATTAGTTAAAATTAACTTACAAATCGAACAGAAAGGGATCCTAACCAAGGGCTTTGAGTTCGCTGGTAACAACTTGGAACAAGAGCCTACATTTAGCCTGTGTCTTGAGACAAACACGGAGAAGCCAAGAGCAGTAACAAACTGCCAGCCTTACTGAGTCATGTTTCTGACTAAAACCGCGTTATGAAATGGAGAGAATGACATGTCTTGGGTTTAATCACCACAGATGTTAACTCCCTGAATTTTAGAGTTGCAGAGGAAAAAGAGCAAAAACCAAAAAAAAAAAATGTTCAGTAATAATGATGTGGGTCTCATAGGACTCCAGAAAGAACCTGCCAAAGCTGCGAACTCTGCTTATTTACCTAAAACAAATCCTAACTGTGCAAACAGGCACACCCTCTGATGCCACAGAGCGGGAACGCCAAGGTGGGAGGAATTCAGAACAATCACAAGGTTAACGTTCCACTGAGAACACAGCCTCCACTGAGCGTCCACACTGCGCCAGAAGCCCTCGGTTAACGGAACCGCTCTGCTCCAAGGGGAAGGAGCACCGAACTCGAGTTAGAGCCCAGCACATTAACCAGGCACTTGGGTGACGCCAGGCCACCTCCAGCCTCCGCTCAGTACCGCACAGAGCCGAGCCGGGACGCCCCCAGACGCCGCGCCGGGAGCGATCCCAGCCCGCCGCGCTCCGCACTCCGGGCTCCTCCGCGCGCCCACCCTGGGAGAAGACGCGTCAGGGGCCGATTCGTGAGGCCAGCCCCCGGCGCCGCCGGCGACAAGAGATCCGGGGCCGCGACCTCTGCCCCGGCCAGAGCGGGGAAGTCCGAAGGTCGCCTCCCGCACAGCCGCCAGGCGCCGCCGCCCCCGAAGCCGCAGGCTGACTCCAGTGCGGGCTGGGGTGGAGGCCGACTGGCGCCGACACCGAGGCGCTCACTGACCTGGAGAGGTGCTTCAAGATTTGTTTCTTGATGATCCCGGCCATGGTACCGAGGCTGGAGACGCCGCGGTCTCGTCCTGTTGCTCACTGCCTCCTCTCTTCGTGGCCGTCTCCTCTCTGTCCCGGCTAGCCCGGCCGGCGGAGAGGCGCTGATCGCTCACGACCGGGAGAGACCCAAGGCCCCGGCCAAGGCCACAGCCGCCGCCGAGAACCCGGAGCATCACGCTCAGGCCGCCACGGCCGCCGCGGGCGCCATCTTGGCTGCAGCATCACCTAAGAGACTCGGTGGAGGGCGGGGGCGGGGCGGCTCCAGGCGGGGCCGGCACGAGGCGGGGCGGGGCCAACGCCGGCTCTGGGCGGGCTCTGGGCGGGCTCTGGCTGGGCTCTGGCTGGGCTCTGGGCGGGGGCGGGAGGTTTGTGGCATTGGCGCCAGGGTTCTTAGCCCTCGCGACACAGGGCCCTTGACTCTCAATACACCATCCTTCTTGGCCTTAATCCTCCCTCCTTCCCTCTGCTGGTGTTCCCGCCTCCATCGCTGACCCGTCGCTGATTTTTACTTCCACGTCCTACTTCCCTTATTCATTTCCTCAGAATGTTTTTTATTTTTTTGCTTGTTTGTTTTTTTTTTTGAGACAAGTCTTGCTCTGTCACACAGGCTGGAGTCCAGTGGTACGATCTCGGCTCATTGCAACCTCCACCTCCAGGGTTCAAGCGATTCTCCTGCTTCAGCCTCCTGAGTAGCTGGGATTACAGGTGCGCACCACCACGGCCGGCTAATTTTTGTATTATTAGAGACGAGGTTTCACCATATTGGCCAGTAGGTCTCGAACTTCTCACCTCGTGATCCACCCTCCTAGCCTCCCAAAGTGCTGACATTACAGGCGTGAGCCACTGCACCCGGCCTCCTTAGAATGTTTTAAGAATCGGCCATTAACTCCTGTGCTTGCTTTGCTCTCTTGACCTACTCACCTTTCTTCATATTCTTCCTTAGGTTTTTGTTTTTGGTGTTTTTTTTTTTTCTTTTGTTAAGGTGTCCTGCCTTTCCCTTACCTAAATGTGGCAATTTAATGTTTCCTTTGGTTATTGCTATTCTAAGGGAAGTAAAGGTTGACAATGGTTCCTAGTAGTCTAGGACCTAGGAATTAGAAGGTGTATAATTCAAGTCCTGGCTCTGGTATTTTCTAGCTGTGTTATCCTGGGGAAAATAATTTCTTTACTATTAGTTTCATTTTAATCATCTGTGAAATAGATTAATCATCAGCCTTACCCACTTCACTAGGTTGAACCTAAAGGTGTAAATATCATATGAAAAGTTCTGTAAGGAAGGAAGGAAATTGTTGAACTAGGGAAAACTGTTACAATTCTACACCTCCACCCCACCCAATCCCAAACAGAGCTAACATTTTCAGAGATTAAAATGACGACTTCTGTCATCCCAGCACTTTGGGAGGCCGAGGCAGGCAGATCACTTGAGGTCAGGAGTTCAAGACCAGCCTGACCAACATGGTGAAACTCTGTGTCTACAAAAAAAAAATACAAAAATTAGCTGGGCATAGTGGCGGGCGCCTGTAATCCCAGCTACTCAGGAGGCTGAGGCAGGAGAATTGCTTGAACCCGGGAGGCAAATGTTGCAGTGAGCTGAGATCAAGCCACTGCACTCCAGCCTGGGCGACAGAGCAAGACTGTCTCAAAAAAAAAAAAAATTACTCAGTGTTAAGTCAAGTTTAGCCTAACACTGCCTCCTTACGTAATTGAGTTCAGCCTAAAGGTTTTTCTGTACATCATGAACTTATGAAAATAAGCAGAGGTATAAACCGACCATAGCCCACACCTGTGCCAATCACTGAGTTTTGGCCAGATGTAGCCAACTGTTCAGACTGTGTTCAAATAAGGCAAACACTGAGCTGTAAGCAATCCAGTTGTTTCTGTACCTCACTTCCATTTTCTAGACCTCACTTTCCTTTTGCTGGCCAGAAATCTGCTCCCAGCATGTGGCTGTGCTGGAGTCTCTCTGAATCTGCTGTGATTATGGGGGCTGCCAGACTCAGGAATCGTTCATTGTTAAACTCCTTTAAATTTAATTTGGCTGAAGTTTTTCTTTTAACACTAGTGATATCTAAAACAGGAAAAGAAATTGTACCACCCCTGAGGGATGTATTAGCAAGATGTGTGGTTGTACATCTTGGGAGTTGGGTGGGAAGTAGTTTACACATAGTCCAATAAGCTGGCCCTTTTTGAAGAATGGAAAGGATAGACGTGTAAGTTGACTACACTCAACATTTCATTTTATTTTTATTTTATTTTTGAGACAGTCTTACTCCATCGCTCAGGCTGGAATGCAGCAGCACGATCTTGGCTCGCTGCGACCTCCGCCTCCCAGGTTCAATCAGTTCTCCTGCCTCAGCCTCCCAAGTAGCTGGGATTACCAGGCTAATTTTTGTATTTTTAGTAGAGACGGAGTTTCACCATGTTGGCCAGGCTGGTCTCGAACTCCTGACCTCACGTGATCCGCCCGCCTCAGCCTTCCAAAGTGTTGGGATTACAGGCATCAGCCACCACACCCAGCTGACTACACTCAACATTTATCATAGATTATAAACCAGGCACTATTCAAGTATCCTGGGGTTGCCTAAATGAAAACAAAAATCTCTGTTCCTGCCATCAGAGTTAACGGCCTGGCTTGGAAGGCAGACTCATGTTACTTACACCTTCAGCTCTGTTAGTAGACTCTGGTTCAAATGCTGGCCACTTTATAACTGTGTAAACTTCAGCAAATTAATCTTTCTCAGCTTCAGTGATCTCATGTGTTAAGAGATATTATTATTAGTAGCTACTGTTAACCTGCCTTATAGCAAACTCAATAAAGGCTAGGTATTATTAATTACTTTACCAAAAACAAGCAAAGTGCTATAAGAACACAGAGGAAGGAGTAATTCATTTGGGGACAGACTTATAGTAGAGGTATTATTTCAAAGATATGAATAAATCCATTTAATTTTTTTAAAAAAATGGACCCTGAAATCAAAGACTTGGATTTAAAACTGAAGCAGGAGGGTTCCCTGACTTCACTCGCAGGACTAACACTAATGCACGAAGTACACAGGGGGGTGGCTCATCTGCTTGGCTACCGAGCACATGCAAACCCCTAATAGGACAGGGAGCACACAGATGGGCAAGTGCAGAAGCCGGAGCAAGGACTTTTGAACTCTGGCCCCATGGTAGCGTCTAGGGGTGGGTAACTGCAACTCCTGAAGCCCAAGTGGGCATGCGTTACACTGCACTCTTTTAGCTTTGTTGTCCACAGATAGCTTAAGTGTTAACTAGCTCAGTGCCCTCTTAGTATCCAGGTCATTGTCAGGCATCCAGAAAGAGGTCACACAGGGACTTGAAGGACGGTGAATGTGGGGTTTTATTGAGTGGTAGAGGTGGCTCTCAACAGGATGGATGGGAAGCTGGAAAGGGGATGGAGTGGGAAGATGATCTTCCCCTGGAATTTGGCCATCCAGTGGCCAAACTCTTCTCAGCGTTCAGTCACTACTTCTCTTGTCTCTGCTGCACTGGTCTGCCATTCTTCTGCTCATCTGTTCATCTCCTTGTCTGCTCATCTGCTTGTGGAGCCTGGGGTTTGGGCTTTCTATGGATACAAGATAGGGTGCTGTGGCAGGCCAAAAGGCAACTTTTGAGCACAAAAACAGAAATGCCTGTTCCCATTTAGGACGGTGGGTTTCCAGGCTTGAGAGTAGGGCATTTGCCAGGGAACCACTCTGTTCTACCCAGTATTTCCCTGTCTCCTGTCCATATCAAAACTGAACTCTGCAGATATTTAGCTATGCTGGTTGTGGTAGGGTGACCCCCAAATTGGGGTTCAGGCTGGGAGGCTACTTGGGTTCCTGCCTTCTGCAGGAAAGAATTCAAGACCAAGCTGACAAGAGTAAAGTGAAACCAAGTTTGTTAAGAAAGTAAAGAAATAAAAGGATAGCTACGCCATAAGCAGAGTAGCAGCATGGGCTGCCCAACTATACTTATGGTTATTTCTTGATTATATGCTAAACAAAGGGTACATATTCATGAGTTTTCTAGTAAGGGTGCAGGGAGTTCCTGGAACTGAGAGTTCCTCCCCCTTTCAGATCATATAGGGTAATTTCTCCATGTTACCATGGCATTTGTAAACTGTCATGGCCCTGATGGGAGTTTCCTTTAGTATGCAAATATATTATAATTAGTGTTTAATGAGCAGTGAGGATGACCAGAGGTTGCTTTCATGACCATCTTGGTTTTGATGGGTTTTGGCCAGCTTCTTTACCTCATCCTGTTTTATCAGTGACAAAGGAGAAAGTCAAAATATTTTACCCCAAAACATGTTTCTTTGCCATATTTTGAAATGGTCCTGCAAAGCCATTCTTTGTGGGGGAAAATTTGCATCTATAAAGAATCTCTATTAACATAGTTAGGTTTTTTTCTTACAGGCCCTCTCAATCCTGAAGAGATTAACTAAGAGTCTATCACCTTTTAAAGGTCTGAATACGAAACATTTGTCATCTATTGTCTCTAAGGGCAGCCACATTAAGACTTCAAAAGAACTTTGGTCTCCACGATCTTTTATCTTAACCAGATCATCCAGGTCTTTAGACAAAGTCAACCAATTGTCAACCAGAAAATGTTTAAATTTACCTATAGCCTGGAAGCTCCCCTCCTTTGACTTGTCTTGCCCTTCTGGACCAAACCAATGTATTTCATTTTTTCGAGATGGAGTCTTGCTCTGTCGCCAGGCTGGAGTGCAGTGGCGCAATCTCAGCTTACTGCAACCTCTGCCTCCTGGGTTCAAGCGATTCTTCTGCCTCAGCCTCCTAGGTAGCTGGGACTACAGGCGCATACCACTACACCCAGCTAATTTTTGTATTTTTAGTAGAGACAGGGTTTCACCATGTTGGCTAGGATGGTCTCAATCTCCTGACCTTGTGATCTACCTGCCTCGGCCTCCCAAAGTGCTGGGATTACAGGCGTGAGCCACCGCGCCTGGCCAAACCAATATATATATATATTTTTGAGATGGAGTCTCACTCTATTGCCCAGGCTGGAGCACAGTAGTGCGATCTTAGCTCACTGCAACCTCTGCCTCTGGGTTCAAGCAATTCTTCTGCCTCAGCCTCCCGAGTAGCTGGGACTACAGGTACGCGCCACCACACCCAGCTAATTTTTTGTATTTTTAGTAGAGACTGGGTTTCACCATATTGGCCAGGCTGGTCTCGAACTCCTGACCTCATGATCCGCCTGCCTCGGCCTCCCAAAATGCTAGGATTACAGGCGTGAGCCACCAGGCCTGGCCAAACCAATGTATTTTTTTTTTTTTTTTTTTTTTGAGATGGAGTCTCGCTCTGTCCCCAGGCTGGAGTGCAGTGGCACGATCTCAGCTCACTGCAACCTCCGTCTCCCGGGTTCACGCCATTCTCCTGCCTCAGCTTCCTACGTAGCTGGGACTACAGGCGCCCGCCACCATGCCCAGCTAATTTTTTTTGTATTTTTAGTAGCGACGGGGTTTCACCGTGTTAGCCAGGATGGTCTCGATCTCCTGACCTCATGATCTGCCCGCCTCAGCCTCCCAAAGTGCTGGGATTACAGGCATGAGCCACCGCGCCCGGCCAAACCAATGTATTTCTTAAATGTATTTGATTGATGTCTGTGCCTCCCTAAAATGTATAAAACCAAGCTGCACTCCTACCACCTTGGGCACATGTTCTCAGGACCTCCTGAGCGCTGTGTCATGGGCCATGGTCACTCATTTCGCTCAGAATAAATCTCTTCAAATAGTTTATAGACTTTGATTCTTTTTGTCCACAAGGATAGTTTGAAATCAGCCATGATGACAGTATTTACAACATAGAAAGCAGGGCTTTTTCCCCTAGAGATCTAGTTGTTAAGCATTCACCAGCACAAGACTATAAAATGAGTTTAGGCTGGGCGCGGTGGCTCAGGCCTATAATCCCAACACTTTGGGAGGCCGAGGCTGGTGGATCACTTGAGGTCAGGAGTTAGAGACCAGCCTGGCCAACATGGTGAAACTCTGTCTCTACTAAAATTACAAAAAATTAGCTGGGCATGGTGGCGGGTGCCTGTAATCCCAGCTACTTGGGAGGCTGAGGCAGAAGAATTGCCTGAACCCAAGAGATGGAGGTTGTAGTGAGCCAAGACTGCGCCACTGCACTCTAGCCTGGGCAACACGAGCGGAACTCCGCCTCAAAAAAAAAAAAAAAAATTGGAGGGAGATGAGATTGTAAATGTAAATATATAGACATCATTTTATAGGAAATAGTGAGTCCTGAAGACCTCTATGATGGGTTAATTGGGGAAGATGTTCATATTTCTGAGTCAGAAAAATATTTACAGACAATTTTGCTGTCAGTTCAGAGGATGGAGAACAGAATGGAGGCAGAAAGGGCATTGAGAAGGTGGTGGCATTATTTCAGGTGAGAGGTAAGACAGTATCAGTAGAGGTGAAAGAAGGTAAAGGACACATGCCAAAGATTAAATCAAGGATAAATATTGAAGGTAATTGAGGTTTTTGCTCGGGGCACGCCACTAGTTAAGTAATATAGTTGGACAGGCAGTTTTGGAGATAAGATCCTGTTGAATTTCTTGCTGTTAAGGCTTTCTGAGGATTTCTCAGTGGAAATTTTGTAAGGTTATAGTTTTGGGTGGAAATTCTGGTTTACGAATCGTGGTAGCTGAAGCCAAGAACAAGAATAATCTTGATCAAAGGGTATGTAAGTCATGAGGAAAGGAAAAAGAAGCTTAAATGAGAAAGGGTGGATAAACAGGAGAGACAAGATGGAAAGAGCATTTTTTTTTTTTTTTTTTGAGGTGGAGTCTAGCTCTGTCACCCAGGCTGGAGTGCAGTGGCGCAATCTAGGCTCACAGCAACCTCTGCCTCCTGGGTGATTCTCCTGCCTCAGCCTCCTGAGTAGCTGGGACAACAGGAGAGCACCACCACGCCCAGCTAATTTTTTGTATTTTTAGTAGAGACGGGGTTTCACCATGTTGGCTAGGCTGGTCTCGAACTCCTGACCTCAGGTGATCTGCCTGCCTCGGCCTCCCAAAGTGTTGGGATTACAGGTGTGAACGAGCATGCCTGGCCTGAAAATAGCATATTTTAAAGGATGAGAGATAAATAGAAATGATGGCTGCTCTATGATGTAAGATTTACAAAGTATTCTTTACTTGACTGGAATAAGAGATCTTACAACTTTTGTTTTTAAGGGTTTTTAGATTTTATAACTTTAATATTAAATTGGAGAAAATAGAATGACTATGAGAAAGAAAAGTAGCTCAGAGCAGTCTGGAAAATGTGAGGTATGTAAAATGTATTAGACCCCAAGAGACATGAGAATGAGACGTAGTCAACATTCCCCCACCCATGTCTAGGGTTGTTTAAAGGCATTTTGGTTTTTTATGTCTTACCCTGTAGTTTCCAGACTAACAAATTACTTAAAAATTTTTTGTTTGTTTTTTTGTTTTGAGACAGAGTCTCGCTGCGATGCCTAGGCTGGAATGCAATGGTGTGATTTCGGCTCACTGCAACCTCCGTTTCCCAGGTTCAAGTGATTCTCCTGCCTCAGCCTCCCAAGTAGATGGGACTACAGGCACATGCCACCACGCCTGGCTAATTTTTGTATTTTTAGGTAGAGACAGGGTTTCCTCATGTTGGCCAGGCTGGTCTCGAACTCCTGACGTCAAGTAATCCGCCCGCCTCAGCCTCCCCAAGTGCTGGGATTACAGGTGTGAGCCACCCAGCCTGGCCCAAATTACTTAAAATGTTACCACAAGTTGCACAGTGTACCCTCATTCACTATCTTCATGTTCCTGGAATTTCTGATACAAAGAGCAACATATAGCCAATAAATTGCTTATGTTATTTTAATGAACCAATGTAAATTCTTGGTAAGCAATTTAAGAACTTTTTTGAGATGGAGTTTCACTCTTGTTGCCCAGGCTGGAGTGCAATGGTGGGATCTTGGCTCACCACAACCTCCGCCTCCCAGGTTCAAGCAATTCTCCTGCCTCAGCCTCCTGAGTAGCAGGGATTACAGGCACCCACCAGCATGTCTAGCTAAAATTTTTTTTGTATTTTTAGTAGAGAAGGAGTTTCACTGTGTTGACCAGGCTGGTCTCGAACTCTTGACCTCAAGTGATCCACCCGCCTCAGCCTCCCAAAGTGCTGGGATTACAGGGTGGCTCATGCCACCGTGCCCGGCCCTCTTATCCTTTAAAAATCCACTTGTGGCCAAGCCAGGTTTGTTGGTTCCTCCCTGTAATCCCAGCACTTTGGGAGGCTGAGGTGGGTGGATTTCTTGAGCCCAGGGGTTCAAGACCAGCTTGGGCAATATGGTGAAACCCTGCCTGACTCTATAAAAAAATACAAAAATTAGCCAGGAGTGGTGGTTTGATCCTGTAGACCCAGCTACTTAGGAGGCTGAGGAGGGAGGATTGCTTGAGTCCGGCAGGTCAAGGCTGCAGTGAACAATGATCAAGCCACTGCACTCCAGCTTGAGCGACAGTGAGACACTGTCTCAATAAAAACCCAAAAAACCAACAAAACAAACCAATTGTAACTGCTACTAGTTGGAACATACATTCAAGGAAACTTAAATCTATGTCTTCAGGGTTGCAGTTCTCAAACTTGGCTCAAAGAAACTTTCCACTGTGAAAATAAGTAACTCTGGCTGTACGTGGTGGCCCATGCCTGTAATCCCACCACTCTGAGAGAATGAGGCAGGAGGATTGCTTGAACACAGGAGTTGAAGACCAGCCTGGGCAACTCGGTGAAACCTAGTCTCTACAAACAATAAAAAAAAAATTAGGTGTGGCGACTCACACCTGAGGTCCCAACTACTGGGGAGGCTGAGGCAGGAGGATCACTTGATCTCACAGGCTGCAGTGAGTTGAGATCATGCCACTGCAATTCAGCCTGGGCATCAGAGAAAGACCCTGTCTCAGTTTTTTAAAAAATAAAATAACTCCAAATATGAATTGTTGGAACTTTAAAATATTCTTAGCCTTAAAGGAATGGGATTACAGCACCTGAGTCAAAAAAAAAAAAAAAAAGGGCAATTATAACCTAGGCAGCTGTAGCCTTTGTTTCTCTGATTATAGATTAGCCTTATTCTTTACCTACATTGTTTTGTAAAATGTTGTAAATAACTAAAGAGCTCCAGGGAAGCCTCTTTATTTGTTTGTTTGTTTGAGACAGGGTCTCGCTCTGTCACTCAGGCTGGAGTGCAGTGGCACAATCTCTTCTCATTGCAACCTCCAATTCCCAGGATTGTCCCTCTACCTTCCTACCCCAACCCTTCTTCATGGAGCTCACCTGGGCCTTGCCCCGCCTCAGCCCCACACTTCTACTGATTATAAAGAGATACCCCCCTTATTTGTCTGACTTTGGAATCTTTACCTCTGGCCCACAGCCATCCTGGGCTCTGCCCCCTTTTGTACACAAAGCCTTTGTCTTCTTAGGAAAATGACCAGGTTCTGCCCATAAAAGTATCCTACCTGAAAGGGAGGTGGAGAGAGAGTGCCTCATGGAAAATCACAGAAACACATTTCTTTGCATCTGAATGCTTCCAGTACCTCACTTTGTCAGCAAACCTACTCTGGGTTAGACCCCAGCATCCTTAGCCTTTTTGTGCCGTGGCCTTCTTTGGTATCTGAGGAAGCCCATGGACTGCTCAGAATAGATTTTTTTTTTTAAGTGCACAAAATAAAATACAGAGAGCAATGGAAATAAATTATATCAAAATAAAGTTTATGAAAATATTTGTGATATTACATGATATGCTTTATTGGCACATTAAATAACAAGATCCAAAGTTAGGTCTAATTACTATAATTTTGAGGTAATGATGAGCAAAAATGCTATCCCGAGATGTCTGCAACAGCTGCAGTGTAATATGAAAATATCTGTGATTTCTGTTGGTAACAAAGTAACAGGTGCTGCTAACACTAATGAGGTTTGTTCCTAGCAACATTCGCCATGGAAGGAAAAGCTCAATTTCAATTAAAGTTTAGAGAAAATCAAGATGCAATCACCCTCCTCCCATCTTTCTCAATTTTTTAAATTATTTTTTATTTATTTTTAGGCATGGTCTTGCTCTGTTGCCCAGGCTGGAGTGCAGTGGCACAATCATGGCTCACTGCAGCCTCAACCTCCTGGGCTCAAGCAATCCTCCCACCTCAGCCTCCTAAGTAGCTGGAACCACAGGTGTGCACCACCACACCTGGCTGATTTTTAAAGATTTATTAATTTTTTTAAATTTTGAGACAGAGTTTCACCCTTGTCGCCCAGGCTGGAGTGCAGTGGCGCGATCTCGGCTCACTGTAACCTCCGCCTCCCAGGTTCAAGTGATTATCCTGCCTCGGCCTCCCAAGTAGCTGGGATTACAGGCACGTGCCACCGTGCCCAGCTAATTTTTGTATTTTTAGTAGAGATGGGGTTTCACCATGTTGCCCAGGCTGGTCTTGAACTCCTGATCTCAGGTGATCCACCGGCCTCAGCCTCCCGAAGTGTTGGGATTACAGGCGTGAGCCACAGAGCCCGGTCTTTTTTTTTTTCTTAGTAGAGATGGGGTCTTGCCTCCCTCCCGGGTACCATCATACCTGCTAGTGTGGGGTCTTGCCTCCCTCCCGGGTACCGTCATACCTGCTAGCGTGTGACTGAAGGCAGTGTCCCTGGCCCCAGCTGAAGGACCATAGCCAGCCAGTGGGCTCAGGCACCTTGGCCTGTTGCTCCTAGGGGTCGCCTATGCTATTCAGCCAAGGGGATGACAGTGCCTGCTGGCTTGGCTGAGCTCCAGCCAGGCTTCCCCCACCACTGACTCTCGCTCTTCTTTTCCTGGCAGGAAGGGCCCAGCCTCATCTATGCGACCTGTAGCCCCCCAACCAGCTGAGGCTCCCCTCTTAGACTTGTAAATCTATGGCCACTGGCATCTGGCTGCCTGCACTCCCTGCTTCCCCCAGGGTCCTGGGCTTTCTGACCACCCAGGGGGGACTTGGGCACTCCCTCCAGCCATGCATCCCTTTTAGCTTCATCCTCTTGGTTCAAGCAATGTTCTTTGTCTGTCAGGCCTGGTGGCTGTTGTGTAGGGCTCCCCAAAGCGAGGGGTGGCCCTGGGCCAGTGGGTTGGAAGACAGGGTGACAAGTGGGAAGCCCGAGGGGGCTGAGTTTCGGTCTGAACTGTGGGTGCACTGCCTAGATGCCGTGTGACAGGCCAGCATGTGTGGGGTGGGGAGGGCCGCCGCAGCCCCCAGGCATTACCTGTGAAGCTCCGGCTCCTCCATCTTCCTCCCCTTTCCCTTTTAGCCCCTCTTTTCCAGGAATCTTGCCACATCCACACTTGTGTCCTCCCCTCCCTGGCCCTCCCACCACTGCTGCAGTGCGTTGCGCTTGCCTTACCAGCTCTCTCCTCACTTTTCTCTCTCCCGTTTTCTCTCTGCTTTCTCTCCAACTGCCAGCCAATGGGGTCAGGCAAATCCATCCCATCCTGAGAGCCCCAGGGCCCTCTTCTACCTCTAAACAGATCCCTCCTCTTCTCAGAGACCTTCCTTTCCAAGCCTGCCTGGACGACTGTTCTGTGACTTGACAGTGGCTCCCCTAGCCCCAAAACCAGCCCCCTTCATCTGTGATGGTCTGTTGTAGTGGTGAGCTGACACATCCAGGCATAACCTTTGGTGAAAACTTGTGCCCCCTCTGTGGTACACCCCTGCCCTGTTCTATAAATACTCATATATATATACATATACACACACACATATATGTATATATATGCATATATATACATACACACATATGTGTATATATACGTGTGTGTGTGTGTACATATATGTATACACTCCTACACATGGCCGACTGCCTCGCCTCTAGCGCTGGGAATCAGTCACCGTGCTGTCCTTGTGGAGTCTTGTGACCCAACTACAAGAGAACACTGTCCCCCAACAATCCCCATCCAAAGTCCATCACCTCCAGTGAGCCTCCCTGTCATGCCTGGCCTGTGGACAGCCAGTCCCCACCATCCCTCCTGCCGCCCGACAAGCTTGGGGGTGCTGTGCAGACAGCTGTGTGGCCCGACAGTCTCTACCAGTCCTGCTGTCCCTTGGCTGGGAATAAAACCCATTTCTAAGTGACGGGGAATGTGTCCTCTGCTGGTTGCGTTCTCTGTGGAGCTCAGGGGAGGGGAAGGGTCAACCCATTACCAGGGTGCTATTGGGAGTGGTAAAAAGGCCACATCCTTTCCAAGGGACGCTTCCTGGAAAGCCTCCGGAGCTTAGCAGGCTCTCATCCTGTGAAGCCGGCTCTGGCCACTAGGGGGCAGGGCCATGAACTCAGATTGGAGGAAGCCTGTGGGGCAGCTGGCAATCTAGAGGGACAGACAGAACAGGCCACCAGGTGCAGACAGGCGAGGGAGGCAGGAGAACAAAATGGAAGACAACTGGGCTGGATGGAAGTCAGTGACCTTGGATGCTGGCACCTGCCTTACTTGCCACTGCTAGATCAGGCTTCCGAGCCTGTTAGCCGTCCAGGCCCCATGGTCACCCATAGGTGCCATGGCAGTTCCTGTGGAATTCCCCAGGTGTTACCAGGCAGCATACAGGTAACAGGCCTGGAAGGTCCCCAATACCCCAGCTGGACATGCTCACTTTGGGGCTCCCTGTTCAGTGGCACAAACTCCATGACCCAGTGAGGGAAACAGGAATACACCAGGCCAAGCAGTATATGGCTAAATACATTCCAAAATAAAAAGCAAAATAAACAGGAGTCGCATCACCACAGTGCCACGACCCCATCTCTGCCCCTTCCCCTGGCCTATGCTATCAATAAATAAGTTTTCCAGCCCCAAATAACTATCAGAACTTCCTACCCATATGCCAGCTCCAACCTCTGCTATGTATGACACAGGAGGTGGCCCTACCACTGGAATATACAAAATGTTACACGGATATAGTATGTACACTAAGGGGGGCCACTCCAGAGCCTGTGCCCTCACCTGGTCTACATTAGCCCCATTGTCCTGCCTCAGCCGCCTCTCTGAGTAAGAAGATGGGAGCCCCCCTGAGGAAAAAATTGCTTTGGTGAGAGTTAAGGAGGCCATTAGGCCTCCTCCAAACAAGCCAATTCTATAAGCCTCTGACTCTTAAAACAATAATCATCGTCCAGAAATTTAAGGAGTCAGCTCTGGCCAAGGTGGCAAAGGGTCTGCATGTTTGCCTCCCCCTGATTAGACACGGGTCTTATTTTGCTATTGTGAGGGTAAAGGGGTGACTGGGAAGGGGTGGCTGGGACATGATGGGGACGGAGCCTCTGGCCCCACACTTCTCCAGGCTTTGCTGACAGCTGCCCGCTTTTATTTTATTCACACTTTTATCCTTTTTTATACTTTTCATAACTTTTTTTTTGAGACAGTTTCACTCTTGTTGCCCAGGCTGGAGTGCAATGGCACAATCTCGGCCCACTGCAACCTCTGCCTCCCTGGTTCAAGCAATTCTCCTGCTTCAGCCTCCCCAGTAGCTGGGATTAGAGGCATGCACCACCACGCCTGGCTAATTTTGTATTTTTAGTAGAGACGGGGTTTCTCCGTGTTGGTCAGACTGCTCTCAAACTCCAGACCTCAGGTGATCCACCCACCTCAGCCTCCCAAAGTGCTGGGATTATAGGCGTGAGCCACCATGTCTGGCTTCATAACTTCTCATAACTTTTATACCATAACTTTTATCCCATAACATTTTTAATCCTATAACTTTTTATAATCCCATACATTTTTTTTAAAATCCCATACCTTTTTAAAATTTTTTATTTTTTTATTTAGTGGCCTTTTAGATTATGGTGATCTTCACCTCATCTCCACCTGTCTCCCCACATTAGACAGGGGTCTTATGCTTGCTACTGTGAGGGTAAAGGGTTGACTGGGAAGGGGTGGTAGGGACATGGTAGGGGCAGAGCCTCCAGCCCCACTTCCCCAGGTTTTGCTGACAGTGGCCGGCTTTTAGATGATGGTGATCTTCACCTCATTGTTCTCATCAGTCTGGTACAAAAAAGGAATGCAAGGGCTGCTGCCCAAGCCTGGGTGCTCCTGGAGGTTCTGCATCTCATGAAGCAGTTGCATGATCTGCTGCTCAGTGGGGTTGTCACAGGGAGAATGCTTCCCCGCCTCTCCTTGTGCAGACTCCCCACTGCTGGCAAGGCTCACCTCACAAAGATCTTTGGAGAGAGGGAGGCAGGGTGCTGTGGGAGCCCTCCCCTGCTCCTGCGTGCCCACTGTGCCTGAGGACTCTACTCACTACCCTGGCTTGTCAGTAGCCCCAAGCTACTGGGGGGCGGGGGCCCCTGGAGTGGGCTCATCAGCAGGGTTCTGGGCAGCTGCCAGGAATCTGCTATGCCACTTGTTGCAGTCGTCCACAAGCCACGCCAGCTCCAGCAGCTTCACCTGGAGGGAGGGGTGCTCAGCTGCTCTGCCTGTGTCTGAGACCATCCCCAACCCCACCCCCTCTACCCTCCACCCTCCACCCCTACAGAGATGTTCCACGCCCTACCTTCACCTCTCCCTTGTCCTGGGCCAGCCTGCTGATGCACTCCTCCTCCTTCCGCACTGCCCTCTGGCTCTGGTACAGTGCGATGTACTCTCCTGCAGGAGGACAGGACTCAGACGCTGGGGCCCCTCTGACCAATGTGCAGCTCTCTTTGCCGTGCCCTGGCTTCCCACTCCCCGATGGTGTCTGTCTCTCTCCAGACAGCTAGATGCAGCAATGTTCCAGTTCCTCAACCCTCTCCTTCAAGTCCACCTTCTCTCCTGCATGAGCTCCATAAAGCGGCTCTGGAGCCAAAATAATGGGGTCACATTAAGGCAGCGACCTTCCTGCCCCAACCCTTCTTGGCCCATGCCAGGAAAGACTCACCCACAGCTTCTCCATGGCCCCCTGCAGGGCCTGGTGGGTCTCCCCACACATGGGATCACCCCCAGTTCTTGGGGCTGGGGCTGCTGCCTCAGGTTCCTTCTGGGCCGAGGCCAACAGATGAGCCAGGCGCTGGCAGTGCACTCCTTCAGCTGCCCACATAGCCGTGCCTGCTCCTCCTCGGCACTAGCTACAGCTGAGTTGAAAAATGCCACCTGCAGGCAAGAGGTACGCATTCTTATGGGGGATACACAGGATGAACGGGGCAGGGAGGTGGAGAGCAGGCCTTGCCTTGGGGGGCCTCAGAGGATGCACCTGTTAGTCACAGGTGAAATGGTGTCTGACCACTGGCTCCCAGGGAAGGGGTGAGGGACCAGAGAAATCAGAAGGCCAGGAACCCAAGAGCAGAAGGGGGTCTGGGAGGGACCACAGAGGGAGGCAGCAAAGGTGGGGCAGGGGGAGTCAGGCTCACCATGGCCTTCTGGCTCTCTAGATCCTCCGGGATGCTTGGCATGGGCTGAGGCACCTCCTCCTCCTCCTCACTGTCCATCTCCTGTTGGGGGTGGCCAGAGAGGTCCTCAGACAACCCAACAAGGGCAGAGTGGGCCCACCTCTGCCCCCACCCTCACTGTGTAACCCTAGGCCAGCCCCTCCCTAGTGGGGAATGAGCAGCTGTTCTTTATTTTGAAACAGTCTCATTCTATCATCCAGGCTGGAGTGCAGTGGCATGATCTGAGCTCACTGAAACCTCTGCCTCCTGGGTTCAAGCAATTCTCTGCCTCAGCCTCCCGAGTGGCTGGGATTATAGGCGCCCGCCACCACACCCGGCTAATTTTTGTGTTTTCAGTAGAGACGGGGTTTCACCATCTTGGCCAGGTCGGTCTTGATTGAACTCCTGACCTCGTGATCCACCCACCTCAGGCTCCCAAAGTGCTGAGATTACAGGCATGAGCCACCGTGCCCGGCCTCTTTATTTTTTAAAGAGCCAAGATCTTGCTATGTTGCCCAGGTGCAGTCCCACTACCAATAGGCATGGGAGTTCCGACCTGCTCCATTTCTGACCTGGGCCAGTTCACCCACCCTTAGGCAACCTAACCTGGTGGTCCCCTGCTCCCAGAAGGTCACCATATTGGTGCCAAACTTAGTGTGGACACCTGGTTGGCATAATGACCAGCTGTTCTAAAAGTCTGTTTCAGCTCCTCAATCCTATGCTGCTAACAGTTCCCGTTTCCTCCTGGGGCTCTCTCCTCTTCCTGTGAGCAGTCTCCGGTACCTTCCCCAGGGAGAGCCATGAGGCTCAACTGGGCCTGAGGCTGCTGGTTCTGCTGGCTGATAGCTTCCAGGTGCTCCTAAGGGGCCAAGAAAGGGAGTGAGAAGGCACAAAGGTTGCCAGGTCGTTACCCTCAGGGCCCTGCCCTGAGCAACTCCCTCACCTGGGTCTCCCGCAACTCTTGGCAGCCCATCTTGGCCACAGCTTTGCTTTGAGCTTTCTGCTGCTGCAGCCGGTCCACGAGCTGGGTCTGCAGCAGTAACTGGTTGTGCAGCTCCTCCTCCTCAGAGGTCAGCTGCTGATAGGTGACCACCTGCTGCTGATAGGTGGCCACATACTGCTGCAGATGACCCAGGTACTGGTCCTGCTGCTGCTGCAGACTCTGAGCCTCCTGGCTCTTCAGCTCCACCTGCAGAAAGACCCTGGGCATGAGGGCAGGTGGTGGCTGGCCCATAAATAGGGTAGCAAGGTCACTGTGTGGCTCTGTTGCCTACCCAGGCCCCTGGCCCCTTGGCTCCAGGCCTAAATGACTGCCTCCCTTTCCCAGAGTCCCATGCCTCCTTCCCCAGCTGCAGGGGTCTGTCCTGCAGACCCCAGCCGCACAGCAGATGAATAACATACTCACACCGATATTCAGTGACAGAGCAGCTAAGGGGCCGGGCCATGCACAGAAAGAGTTGTGGCGGCCACAGGCCTTAACTGGCTGGCCCTCATGGCATTTATTCAGCACAGACTTAATGACAAAGGCTTTGAGTCAACACACCTGTGGGTAATTAACTCCCCCTGCCCCCAGGTAGAGAGCAATCATGCACCTGCGGATAATCAAAGGTTGGTCTTAGGACCACATGAGTAAACAAGCTATTCAGATAAACTCCCCCACATTCCCATGTTATTTGCTCTATTGCTATCAACTCAAGGTAAAGGGGATTAGAGGTAAAAAGGATTTCAGCCAAATCCTTTACTGAAGCTATGCAAACCTTCTGGCCTTCCAAGAAGGTTTGTGTCTATATCCTGTAACTTCATCTTACAATTTTCCAACCACACTGACTGATCCCCTAAATCTCCCCATTTTCTGTTTTTTTTGCATTCAGTCTTGTTCATTGGAGAGTACAGGTGTGCGCAGCAACAGGTCTGTCAGGCATGGTGGTCATTGCTCTTATTCCGGCTTTGCATCCTAAAATTAGTAAATAACATAAGACAAACATGAGTATAATTAGCAACATTCTTTTCTAATCAAGGAGTGACCCACCACCCCCCGCCCCCAGGAGCGGTGGTCTATCCAGGAGAGATAATCTCACACACCCTTCCATATGGCTGTTTGTTGGGTGTGTAGATCTACAGTTTGAAGGGATTCTAAAATTGTATTTTTAAGTTGCCTTATGTCTGCTGTTAAATTGTCATGAAAGGTTCCCCAGAGGTGTTGTTTCACCTCATCCCAACTATGCATTGACTGATTCCATGGTAGAGAAGTGACACAGATATGTTTATGCTCCCAGTCACAGTTTAATTGCTGTTGGAATGCCAGTGCATCTTGTCGCTCCCCCACATATTCCAAAGGCAGCCTCGAGGGCTTGCAGATGTGCAAGAATCTTTTGATCTATACCTTGCTGTAAGAGAAGTTCATTAGAAACATTTCTGGCCAAATTATCTACAAAAGCAGCTGTTTGTACTGATTCAGTAATAGATGCTACAGCCACACTAGCAGTTGCTAGGATGACTATGGCTGAGACTATGAAGGCTGTAAGTGTGCCTATGAATCTTTCGGGTCTGACCTGGGACAGGGCACGATCTAAAGTGGGAAGGGAAGAGGAACCTTGCCAACCGCATGTCAAATTGACTGGTGGGAATGCCTCAGATTGTCTCCTTAATACCACGACTCTAGTAATATTTATAATTAGATATATTGTAATTAGTAATACATGAGGTGAACCAAGGCTGTCCCTGCACCTGGGTCACAAACATGGAGTTTTGGGGTATAACAGAAATATTAGTTCCCACAAGGAAAACATATGGATGGGTAGTGCAAATCAGGCACTGATCAGTGTGATTATGAATAAAGGTTGTAGTATAGTTGTGACTGGAATTATGATATGTCCAATGCCAGGTGTCAAAGGAGGTGCTAAGATGTCCCAGGCACCACAAAGTGTCTTGGGGTGGCATGGACTTTACTTGGGGTCTGGAATATCCTATCCCCCCATAGGCCCAAATCATAGGGGAATGGGACGTGGCTATGAAACTGTGATTGGTGCCATGATGGATGAGGACATTAGTAAGGCTGCCCTGCAAGTGGCTGTGGGGGCTCCAGTCTAAGATGTTATAATTGCCTAACTGGAGCATATGGGCTTATTCCCCATGACAGACCTCCCAGCTAAAGTGGAATCCATTACTTTCCCGGCTTTGTTCTTTAACACAGGAAGGAATGTTTGGGAAAGTGGCATTGATTGCATCGCCCGGTTTGAGGCTACCTGCAGCTAGGAATGTTAAGGCATCTCCTTTGCCATGATGTAGCCATAATTGTGTTTGGGCAGGTACACAGGGTTAGAACCTTTATAACTTACACACAGTGGGAGGATAGTGGAATGATATGTAGTGTTACCTGGCACCTTAGTTTAATGTGTGCCATTAATGAGGGACCCCACTGGGGGTAAATCTATCCCTCCTAGCCAAGCAGTTATGTTATTAAAGGCTGAGAAGGAGGTGTCTGCCCAGGTGACAGGGTGAAAGAAAGGTGGATCTAAAATATGAGCCCAATAGAGTGCACCAGGTACAGGTTGCAGACAAAGCAAGAGCATATGAAGTATCAATACCCTATGCGAGTTGCAATGTACAACAGAGAGCATAGCAAGCAACAAATTATCTGGAGTGAATGGTGTCTGTGTCTGGAGCAGGATTCATTCAGCCTCCTCAGTTGCCGCCTTCAGCATCCCCCAGGTAATGTCCAGAGCTTGTTGCCGTCCGAGGACACTGCATTATCCAGGGTTGTGAGTCCTGTAGGGTCAGTTCCTTCATTTCTAGGTTGGGTCCTAGTCACGTCATGGTATGGTTTGATGCGTCGTGCTGGAATCCAAAGAGGACCTGAGGGGGTGTGAACACAAGCATATCCTCTTCCCCAAGTTAACAATTCATTTGGACCACATCATACATTACTGTTCACATATTTCCATAAAACTGCAGTTTTATGTCTTGAGAGGTTTTAGCAAAGTGCTTTTCTACAATGGACTGAAATTTGTCATCTAAATTTTAAAAATTAAGGGTAAATAAGGCTTGTGCCAATAATGCTGCAGGGTCCTTACCCATACTCCCCTTTTTTGTTTTTTGAGCATATTTTTAAGGGTGGAGTGGGCACATTCTACTATGGCTTGTCCTTGGGGGTTATACGGGATGCCTGTGGAATGTTGGATGTTCCACATGTGACAAAATTGTTGAAATTGTGAGCTGGCATAAGCTAGATCATTATTAGTTTTAATTTTTGTGGGTTGCCCCATAAATGCAAAAGTTAAAAGAAGATGTTTAGTGACATATCCAGTAGACTCTCCAGGAAGGGCATTTGCACTAATTAAATCAATGGATACATGTACGTATCTAAGTTTTCCAAATTCAGGGATGTGTGTAACGTCTGTTTGCCATAACTTATTAGGTTCCCATCCTCTAGGGTTGAAGGAGGGTATGTGCCTGTGAGCTGGCAATCTCGGCATTGCAGGATAATTTGTTTAGCCAGCCTCTGGGTAAGTTGAAATTGTTTAGACAAGTTTCTCCAGTTTTGGTGGAAAAATTGATGCGATTGTGTGGCTTGGTCAAGCACTGATGTCATAACCTGAAGGTCTGCTTCATCATTGCCATAAGCCAGTGGGCCAGGCAGTCAGCTGTGGCCCTGAATATAATAAAAATAGGATGTGTACACTGATCTAGCAATTGCTGAAGTCAAAGAGCACACAGGGTGGGCTCCAGAGTGGACTTAATTAGGGCTGTCTCAAGGTTCTGCAGTAAATAAACAGAGTAAGCCAAGTAACTAACAATATTGAGGGGCTGAGTGGAAAAAGTTTCCAAAGCCAATATCAAGGCCCCACCCTCAGCTCTCTGAGTGTTAGTAAATCCAGATCGATTGATGGAATTATGTGGTCTCCACCAGACTGCCACTTTTCCATGTTTACTAGAACCATCCGTAAACAGTGTTAAAGCATTAGGTATGGGGGAGTGAACTATCGGTGGCCTGAATATATGACTTTACTGATTAACTGGATATAGGGAGATAGTGTTTTGGTCTCGGTATGTGAGCAAAAAATCCATTCTAGAAAGCATAGCTCTGGGGCCATTTGTCCTATTAACCCTGTAGGGGAGTGTTTAGTGGGGAAAATAAAAATAAACAATTGAACAGAATATTCTGGATCTATGAGATTTAGTTGTCTTTGAGAAATAGCCTGTTCTATTTCTTCCATCTTTTTTTTTTTTTTTTTTTTTTTTTTGCTGCAGGGGTTAAATATCTGGGAGAATCCAGGGCTGTGTTACCCTTTAAGATAGAAAACAGGTTTTGCAGCTTATAAGTAGGAATGCCCAAGGTGGGGTGAAGCCAGTTAAAATTACCTAGTAATTTCTGATAATCATTTAAGGTGTGTAAGTTGCTAGTATTTAATTTAACCTTTTGAGGTCTTACTGACCAGGAAGTATGTACCCAAGATACTTCCAAGGAGAGGACATTTGTGCTTTTTCAGGTGCAATGATTAAACCACTTAGCTGTGCATTCTTTATGACAGAGGTATATAAACTTAAAAGCACTGGCTCCACTGGGGCTGCTAGTAGAATATCATCCATAAAATGAATAACCTTGCAATGAGGAAATTCTTTTCTACTGGGGAACAAAGCTTGATTTACATGATACTGACACATGGCAGCACTGTTTAGCATTCCTTGAGGAAGCACTTTCCAATGAAATCGGCAAGCTGACCTTTCAATATTGATAGCTGGTATTGTAAATGCAAATTTTTCTGTCTTGCTTTGCCAGGGGAATAGTGTAAAAGCAACAGTGGCCATTATTAGAAAGAGGTGTTTTAAATTCTTAAATTGTACTTAAATCTTAGCAGAGAATTATAATCTGGGATGTCGCTTGTATACAAGGAACACATGAAATTTTGCCATGGGCCACCCGCGGAGCCAGAGAGTCTAGCCGGCGGGTCCCGGGGCGGCGGTCATGTTGCGCTTGCTCAGGCGCTGCTTTTTGTCTGTGCCACCTTTTGTCTGTGCTGCTCCCTCACCCTGCTGCCGCTGGGCGGACCTTCGTGCACGCCTCCTGCCCCTCCCTATCAGGCCAGCTCTGGTGTGCTGCGCCTGGCTCCTTGTCACTGCTGCCTCTGTGCAGGCTGAGTTCCTGGAAGCACTTGCTGGCTCCAGGTCTGCGAGCTTCCTTTGCTGCCAAGTATTTCCTTCTGCCTACCACCCATTTGGCCACGCGGTTTCAGCCTCTAATGCTTTTTCTTAACTTTTTATAAATGTTAAAAGAAATGGGTTTATATACCCAATTGCCCTGTCAATCTTGTATTACCAGGCAGGCTAAGAGCTCCCCACTTAATGCCTCTTGCCTAAGAAAGGGTCCCATAGCTGTAGCATAGCTCTTGTCTTTTTTCCTATTTATTGGAGGAGGGGGCTCAGGCAAAACCTCCATTTCCTCTTTGTTATTTTGGCCTGGCGATATTGGGGCTGAGGGAAAAGGAGGTGGTAAAGCAGGTGACGGTTCCTCCTCCTTCCCCTTTTTAGGCTCTTCTGTGTATAATGGAGCCAGGGCTGCCCTGACTAAGGCCCATAGCATTAAAGATGATACTGGGACCCATTGCCCTTGCACATGATGCTGATTAAGATTTCTCCCCACTTGTTCCCAGAGCTCTACGTCTAGCGTTCCTTTTTCTGGGAACTATGGGTTATGTGAGACAACAGTTTGCATTAGGTCCCTTAATTGAGCCTGTGAAAATGAGGCTCCACTAGTTTTAAGCAGCTGCTTCAATACTTTTATATACTGTTCCTGTTGAGCTGATAACTGTTGTCCCATGATGAAACCCTAGCCTGAACAATCCCCGCCAAACTTGGAAATTCCGAGCGGGCATCAATGACTTACTGACTTATTGACTGTGCAGTTCTTTTCACCTTTGTTTTCGAGGGGTCCGTTGTGATCCTTCACAGTGTGCCTCACGCGGGACACCACTTGCAGGGGTCTGTCCTGCAAACCCCAGTTGCACGGCAGATGAATAACATACTCAGACACCAATATTCAGTGACAGAGCAGCTAAGGGGCCACACCACGCACAAAAAGAGTTGTGCACCTTGACTAGCTGGCCCTGACGGCATTTATTCAGCATAGATTTAATGACAGAGGCTTTGAGTCAACACACCTGTGGGTAATTAAATTTGCCGACCACCGAGTAGAGAGCAATCATGCACCCGTGGATAATCAAAGGTTGGTCTTAGGACCACATGAGTAAACAAGCTATTCAATAAACTCCCCCACGTTCCCATGTTATTTGCTCTATTGCTATCAACTCAAGGTAAAGGGGATTACGCTGCTTTCAGCCAAATCCTTTATTGAAGCTATGCAGACTTTCTGGCCTTCCAGGAAGGTTTGTGTCTATATCCTATAACTTCATCTTACAATTTTTCCAACTACACTGACTGATCCCTTACAACCAGCCTTAAATCTCACACCCTTCCTCCCACCATTTAAACTAGGCCACAGACTGATGGAAAAGCAGAGGGAGCCAACCACCATCTGCTAACTGTGCTACATGCCTAATGCTTTCCACGTATTATCTCATTTAATCCTCAGCACCTCCAAGAGGAAGGTGCTAACTTCCCTTTTAAGTTAAAGAAACCGAGACTTAGAGATGAAAAGTAGGTGACCAGTGGAGCCAAGGCCGGAATCTAGTTTGACTCTAAGGAACCTCTTATACCACCATCTCTTTCCCTATGTTTGGGAGGCTCCATGACTCCAGCTGGGATGATGATGTCCAGACCTAGGAAGAACGAACCCACCACTAAATGTCAGAGGGCGGGAAGCAAGAAACAGTCACAGGACTGCCCTGGAGGGTGCTGGGGTCACCTGTCCCCCAGGCTGGAGCTGCCTCTGGCTTCACACCTCCCCTCCCCAGAGGCTGGTGCCCGCCTTCCAGCTCTTCTTGGATGGGGCAGGGTTACCATGTCCTTTAGCTTGCCCAGCTTCTTTCCCAGCTCCCTCTTTACGTGCTATTCCAACTGCAGTGCACTGGTGATCTCCATGTTCTCATTAGTCTGGACAGAGAGAAGCAATTGGCGGCCACCCACTGCAGCTGGAGACCCCAGAACTTGGTGTCTGCCTCCCGTGGCACCTGGAAGGGTGGAGGCAGGTTAGAAAAATCATTCCCTCTTCCCCACAGCCATCAGAGCAGGGCTCTGGTTCACAGGTACCTTCAGAATTACCATCTCACATTAGGGGTACACTGCCTCATTTTATGGGTGGGAAAACAAAGGCCGGGAGTGCTAGGGAGGAGAGCAGGCTTTCCAGATGGGGTCACGCACCAGCTTTATGAATCCGTTCTGCAGCGGAGACAGCTGCTCTTTGAGCTTGTGGTTCTGGGTGAGCACGTGGCTGATGGTGGTGCATTTGTTCTGCATGGTCTCCAGGATTTGCCTGCGTGACTCTGCCTGCTCCCGCAAGAGCTCGGCCACCTGCTCCAGCTCCAGCAGCCTCTCCTCCTACTCCTGGTTCGGGTGACTGAAGCCCTCAGTGTCTTGCTCCTGGGCTCGGAGCTGCCAGACTCTCCAGCTCCTTCTGCAGGTGGTCAGCCTCTGCTTGTAGCTGCTGCTCCACCTTGGAGGGCCCTGCTGGGAGTTCCAGGGGCAGGGGTTCAGGTAAGAAGGGAAGCAGACAGTAAGGGCCTCTCGATTCTCAAAAAAACCCTCCTCTTGGTCCACAGCTCCTCTCAGGCTCCCCAAACTTGGCCTCCCTGCTAATGATTCCTTGCACCCGGATATTAGCCAATCTTCCAAGCCACTTTGTGATAGAGACAACTGTGGATGGCTGACAATGGACACGCTTCCCTCTTTGCTGATGGGGACACTGATTCTCATGGAGATTACCAGACTTGCCAACTCCTGGCACAGACCTCTCTCCCTCTGCCCCAGACCTCTCTCCCTCTGCCCCAAAGCCCTCCATCCACCCACCTCCCTGGAGCATTCTAAGCCACCCCCACAGCCCTCTGACACCAGTCCTGCTCCCAGGTCACCACAGCCCCCGCTTACCCATCTGGTTACTCACTTCAGCCAAGCTCATCTACTGTTCTTATACCCAACTCATGCTATCCTCCTTCTCCTCTCTCAATGTGCACACCTGCCCAAAATACAGAGGGAAAGGGCACTGAAGAGAAGGGCTGGTGGCTGGATAGGCTACCATCTCCCTCTCTGACCTTGCCTTCACACAGCCCAGACCCATGACCAACTCTGGCTATAGTCTTCCCATTTTACAGATGCCTAGAAAGATCAAGTGATCTATCTAAGGTGGGGGGCTGAAGGGTCAGGTCTCACCTGCTCCGACATCTGTTGCTTCCTCTGACACCACATGGCCCTCCCTCCTTTCAGATTTTCAGCATACGTATCTCTCTCCGTTTGTAGTTATCTAACTGACTCCATTACCTTAAAGAATGGGTACAAAAGTTACAAAGGGCTGTCACTGGTCCTCACCTGCTCCTGGCCACCTGGGGTCATCTTCCTTCCACATCCCTCCCCTGCAAAGCTTCACCTGCCCTAGATGTGCTTTCAGCTGTGCCCGCTCCTCCATGGCCTGCGGTAACTGCTGTTTCGCATCAGGGGCTTCACAGTGCCTTGAAAACTGGATGGTGAAGAGTGAGAAGTTTAGATTTGGGGAGCCTGGGCCGTTCCACACAGTGCACCTTAAAAGGGCTAGGGCTAGGCTTAATGTACAACTCAGTCAATACGACTCTGCTGTCAAGTTTCTTTGCTTTAGAAATAAAAAATTAAATAATTTTAAAAAGATCTCAGGCTGGGCATGGTGGCTCACGCCTGAATCCCAACACTTTGGGAGGCTGAGGGAGGTGGATCACTTGAGCTCAGGAGTTCAAAACCAGCCTGGGCAACATGGTGAAGCCCCATCTCTACAAATACAAAAATTAACCAGGCGTGGTGGTGTGCACCTATGGTCCCAGCTACTTGAGAAGCTGAGGCAGGAGGAGCGCTTGAGCCTGAGAGGTAGAGACTACAGTGAGCCGAGATCACACCACTGCACTGCAGCCTGGGTGACAGAGAGAGACCCCATTTCAAATAAAAAAAATCTCTACTCTCTATTATTACCCATGGAATAGTGAAAGTGTTGGCTTGAACGTCAGATGGAAGTATACAGACTCATTAGCTAGCCATACAAATGTAATTTATAAAATAATGGTTTTCATCTATGATGCTTTAAAAAAAAATTTTTTTTTAAGCCCTAACCCTGAGATTCTGATTACCCAGGACTATGGTAGGGCCCCAATTTGTAGATTTTTAGCACTCTCTAGAGGATTCTATGGTAGGATCAGAACAAGGACCCAAATTTTCCAACGCTTGGCTAGAGCCTCCCCATACCCCACATGATCCCTAGACCATGGCCCCAGCTGGATGGGGCTCCAACCACCCCCGGAGCCGCACCCCCTAGCCTGTTGAAGCAGGAGTGCCATCATTTGTAATTTCTTTTGCGGCTCTTCTAAAATAAGCTGCATGCCAGCCTTCTCAGTCACCAGGACTTGAAGCTTCTCTTCCAATTCTGATTTCTCCTGCTTCAGGTCCTCATTGCTTCGGTTATGGCCAGAAGCAGTAGAGAAAGGAATGAACTAAGAACAGAAAGGACTGCTTTAGTGATCAACCCTGCACCCTTGCCTAACCAACACAGAACCGCGGCATTGGAAGGAACCCTAGGAATCCAAAGTCACAGATGGCAGGCCCAAGAGAAGGCATGAGTTGCCCAAGGCTACACCATGAGTCACCAGCACTACAGCTTAACTGTGCACATATGCAAACCTGTATGACCACCTCACCATGCTTACCTGTACCCCCCAACCTCCCAGCACATCACCCATGCTAAGGGCCCCCAGACCTCCCATCCCACCTTCCCCCATGCTACCTGTTCTTGTATAACTCCAGCCTGAGGGCGTCTCTCTCTTTGGTTAACTCCTTGTTGTACGGCAAATACAGACCAAGGTTAAGTCAGGATATAGCAGGCAGAGGAGCAGTTGGCCGACCGGTAACAATAGCTACAGTAACTATTCCACAGTAATACTTCCTCACTCTGAATCACACTTGACATTTTTTCAAGGCATTTCCAAGCCCATGGTCTCATTTGTTTTTTTTTTTGTTGTTGTTTGTTTGTTTGTTTTGAGATGGAGTCCAGCTCCGTCACCTAGGTGGAAATGCAGTGTCATGATCTCAGCTCACTGCAACCTCGGCCTCCCAGGTTCAAGCGATTCTCCTGCCTCAGCCTCCTGAGTAGCTGGAATTTACAGGTGCCCACCACCACACCCAGCTAATTTTTGTATTTTTAGTAGAGATAGGGTTTCACTGTGTTGGCCAGGCTAGTCTCAAACTCCTGACCTCATGATTCGCCCGCCTAGGCCTCCCAAAGTGCGGGATTCCAAGTATGAGCCACCGCGCCCAGTCAGTCTCATTTGTTTTTAAAAGAACTTAGTAAGCGTGAAGGGACAGGGAAAGAGATTGAATTTACAGCTGGCTAACAGAGGCCCAGAGGGATTACGTAATATTGCTATTGTTTTACCGTTATTACTACCACGGTTTGAACCTTTATTGAGTGCTTCACCAGCCACCATGCTAACAATCCCATTTAATCCTCACAACCACCATGTGAGACAACTACTATTATTACCTCTATTGTGTCAACAAAAAACATGGGGCATTAGAGGTTAAGTGCTTGCCTAAGATCACTCAGACAGAGCTGGGATTTGAAACCCCAGGTATATCTGATTCTCCAAGCCCATTTGTTCACTGGGGGTGGGGGCACAGACAGGAATGGGGAAATCAATTTCTTGTTCACTTTTTGAAAGGATGATGCATTCACATAGTCCAAAGCTCAGAAGGTACAGAAGGGAAATATCGCCCAGCCACCCTGTTCCTCTCTCCTGAGTTTTTTGTGTTTTATTTATTTATTATTTTACTTTAAGTTCTGGGATACATGTGCTGAATGTGCAGGTTTGTTACATAGGTATACATGTGCCATGGTGGTTTGCTGCACCTATCAACCCGTCATCTAGGTTTTATGCCCCGCATGCATTAGGTATTTGTCCTAATGCTCTCCCGCCCCTTTCCCACTAACACCCTCCTGAGTTTATGAATCCTTGCAGATATGTTTTATGTATATGATCATAGTATGTATGTAGACACACACACACACACACACGTTCCCTCTCTCTACACAAATGGTAACATACTAAAGATACTCTTCTGTACCTTCACAGTACAAGTACCATATTCCCCACTTAGCACTTGGCAAAGGCCAAAGCCAGTTAAGGGCAGGGTGAGCACTTGGCCTCCAAGCTCTATGTCCAGTGCTCGCTCCCCACAGGGCCCCTAACTCACCCACAGAAGCGGACTCAGCCCCAGGCTACGTCTAACAACCACACACAAAAGCAGCAAGAAATGGCCCATGCTGCCTTCTGGGCAGGACATTCCATCCTGCAGAAGGAACCTTTAGGCTCACTCCGCCACCTGGGAAGCCAGGCTGCCAGGGGATGGGGCAGGCGGTTGGACTCACCCTGTCTGCTTTCTTCTGCTGTGTGGAGACAGCAGAGAGCCTGCTCCAACTCTCCCACACACTGCCTGGAATACTAAAGGCGGCTGGCCAGATCCTCAGACTCCTGGAATGAGAGAGGTTCAGATGGGGCCCAAAGGACTCCCCCTAATGGCCTGTCAAAGTGCCAAGTTGAAGGATGATGGGGTGCCCAGATTCCGACCTTCTTTCTGCCTGGCAGCATGCTGAGTGTAAGCCAGGCTGTAACTCAGCTTTCTCTGATACAAGGATTTCTACATTCTGAATGTGAACCTTTGGTAGAAAAGCCAAAAGCTGATAGAGAAGGGAAGAAACATTCTCCAGAGGACAGGAGGGAACTTCACACTCTCTACTCACCTGTAACTGCTCCCTTAGGGCTCCCTGCTTTTGGTGGCACTCTTTCTTTTCCTATAGGAAGAGGAAGACAGAGCTCTTACTAGGGGGAGGCAGAGATGGTACAGCAAGGGACATGCCCCAGGACAGTTCCACCCATGGGACCAAGTTATCAGGGACCTTATGGGGATGGGGTGGAATCTGAGGGGTGAGCCTTCTTCCCCAGGCTGGACTAGGTGAGACAAGACTGAGGTCTCTACATCTGAGTGCCTCCCAAACCCAGCAGTCATGTTGTAAGCAAAGAGTTACTTCTTCCAACTGATCCACCATTTCTTGGTTCTGTTGTTTCTTTAGAGAGAGTTAAAAGAAGGTGACTGAGGATGGCACCCTTGACTCTATTCCCCAGATCAGGAAGGGGTAGGCAGCAGCCAGGAATGGATTTTAAAGGCAAAGTTCTCAGACTCAGTGGAAACATGAACTGGTAAACTCTCCTCAAGCTCCCAAGGAAAGAGGATTTGGGTCTTTGTTGGTTTTGGCCCACAGCCATAGAACTGAAAGTCTGAATCTGGAGTCTCTCAAAGGGACAGTAACATAAACCTCTAGAGATGAAGTGTGAGAAAAGCCCACCCTTCTGCCAGCTTGTAATTTAGAAAGGTGCATTCATTCAACAAACATTTACTGAGCACATATGTGCCAGGTATGGTTCTTAATAGCAGGGATACAAGACAGAAAAAGACAGACAGGAGCCCTTGGCCCTGAGGTTTTCATTCTAGTGGGCTTTTTTGTTTTTGTTTTTTTTTTTTTGAGACGGAGTCTTGCTCTGTTGCCCAGGCTGGAGTGTAGTGGCACCATCTCGACTCACTGCAACCTCCACCTCCCAAGTTCAAGCGATTCTCCTGCCTCAGCCTCTCAAGTAGCTGGGACTACAGGTGCGTGCCACCATGCCTGGCTAATTTTTGTATTTTTAATAGAGACGGGGTTTCACTGTGTTGGCCAGGCTGGTCTTGAACTCCTGACCTCCTGATCCGCCTGCCTCAGCCTCCCAAAGTGCTGGGATTACAGGCATGAGCAACCATGCCCAGCTCTAGTGGGCCTTTAAACCTTGGACTCTGAGAGCTAACAGAGACCTTTGATATTCTCTAACTTTACCTCCTCAGGAAATGCAAGCCCAAGGAGAAGAGGTGGCTTGTTCAGAATCAAAGAACAAATTAGGGACTCAATCAAGGTAAAAATACAGGGCTCCTGACAACTAGTCAGGCTAGCACTTCCCCAAGAAGCAACAACCCCAGGCACTCAAAGTACCCTAGGTTGAGATGATATTAGGAAGATTCAAACTGTCAAATTCAATTTCCCAAGATCTGTTCCACAGGAGATAAGCAGATCTTACTCCAGAGACCACTGATTGAAGGGCATTCTGGTCCCAGAACCATGGAGAATTCGAATATGAGGTGGAAAACTCAAAAAAAAAAAAAAAAAAGCTAAACTCTCTGGAGAGTAGAAGTCTGGGAGAAAAACAAACCAAACCCATTCTCCTATTGCTACCCAGAGACACTGTCAACGTTTTGAGCTCATGGGGAAAGTGTGGGCTTTTCACATTGTCAATGTCTATGCTAAGGGAGTAAGGCAGCTTGAAACCTTTCGTTCCTAGATCCCATAGTCCCCATTCCCCTTCCAGCTGGAAATCTGTGCTGTGACCAGAGGAACCAGAAGCAGGGTGAGAACACTTAGTGGACTGGGTCCTAAGATCAAAGGCCAGTCTCGTGGCAGTAATGACAGTTCCTAGGGGGACTGTGATGTCACTATATTTTACTCCTCCCTGGGGTGGGGGCTGGCTATCAGCATGAGGCCCGAGTCACCACTTTGAGATGTGGGAGGTGGGTGCAGGGCCAGGACCCAGGACCTTGGAGATGTCAGCCCAAAGACCCCAGGGAGGTCAGGCTTGGGGCAGCAGAAGGTGAAGACTGAGTATGGAGCAGGGAGCCCCAGAAGTCACCCACCCAAAGTCACCCTGGTGCGACTGGTGAGGGCAGAGGCTGGGCTGCTGAGGGGGAGGGGCTGGCTGACAAGATTTTGGTTGGGGGAGCCCAGAGGCACTGGGTGGGGCCCAGCCCAGTGTGCCTCAGGAGTGCCACAGACTCTGGCAGCAGTCCTGCCATTGGAGGGAGCCTGGGACGGTGGGCCACAACCTGGTGCATTTACCTTTTTCTTGGCCATGGCCAATTTGCTCTGTCAGGTTTCCTCCGATATCACAGGGCAGGGAGAGGCGGGGATGGGGCCACATCAGCATGATCCCAGTGACAACTACTAAACACTTCTAGTAGCCTACCACACAGCTGTGTGACTGAGCCAGGGGAGGTGTAAACAAGGTCGCACTAGAATGCATAATAGGGGTATGGCCTTAATGCTCCAAGCCCATTGGTCTATGAGAAAGCTGAAAGGGAAAGGAGGCATGGTCAGGCAGCAGCGTGTCCAGAGGGACCTGTGGCCTCACAAGGAAAGCTGCTCATGCAACCGCTGTCTCCGCTCACTCTGGGAGAGAGGCAGGGCCAGCTTTCATTTTAGAAACTTTAAAACTTTAAAAAATAAACTTTAAAAATAATATGTCTGTGTACTTTATATATGTGTGTGTCTATATGTGTGTGTATCTATGTGTTCCTCCGGAGCTGTCTTCATTATCCAGCTTCTGTGCCAGGCCTATGATTTTGGCCTTTATTTTTCATCTTCAAATGGAGTAGAAGAATTACCAATATTCCATCAATTGAGGTACAAATCCTGTAAAAATGGAAAAATCCATAGCACGCTTGATGATTAATGAAGCAGACTACGTTATCCAACATTCCAATGAGACAAAATAATCATAGTGATTTCTCTTTTTTGGAAAAAGTTTCTCTTATTCTCCTACATTATTGTTAAGATTTTTTTTTACACAAGAAACATGTCTAATATCTTTAAAAACATAAAGCTTTTGGGCTGGGCATGGTGGCTCACGTCTGTAATTCCAGCACTTTAGGACACTGAGGCAGGTGGATCACCTGAGGTCAGGAGTTCGAGATCAGCCTGGCTGACATGGTGAAACCCTGTCTCTACAAAATATACAAAAAATAGCCAGGTGTGGTGGGGTGGGCACCTGTAATTCCAGCTACATGGGAGGCTGAGGCAGGAGAATCACTTGAACCCGGGCGGCAGAGGTTGCAGTGAACCGAGATCGCGCCACTGCACTTCAGCCTGGGTGACAGAGCAAGACTCCAACTCACAAAAATAAATTAAATAAATAAATAAATAAATAAATAAACAAAGCTTTCAATTTAATAAGCATTCAAAGCTCCTTAACAGTTTAAAGCAAATACAGGGCCCTTCTAAAGTAAGGCTAAATGCTAAGTGATAGGGGAGAGAAAAAGGACATAAATAACTCCTACTCTCATGGGGTTAATCACTAAATTCTATTTTTCTAGAATCACCTGGAATCTCTAAACCTTGTAAATGAATCTGAATTTCTCACTCAATAGTTGGCTATGACTTACAATCATGAAAACCAAGAACTGTGTTATGTCATTGTGTATTGCTTGTTATGTGAATTCCACACTAGGTTGGTATCAATGGTTGAAGCTTTCATGATTTGATCCATAACCTTTGTGCTTCTTATCCCAAACCAAACTAAGCTTTTTTCTAGAGTTCTACAATTTGTAGTTAGTTAGTGTACAAGAGTGGTTCTCAAAAATGTAGTCTCTGGACCAGCAGCAGCTAAGAACTTTTTACAAATGCAAATTATCAGGCCCCACCCTAGAAGTGATGAATCAGAAACTCTGGAGTAGGGCCCAGCAATCTGTGCTTCAATAAACCCTCCAGGTGTTCAAGAACCTCTGGCATACAGCAGGTAGAAAAATGTGTTTCCTTCTGTAGGTCCAAAGCCAGGGATGCTATATGTTCTGTCTTGATATGAAACAATGACATGCAATTAAAAGACATAAATCTCCTTCCTACTTCCACCCTCCATCCAATGTGTTTTATTTTTATGAGTTAAATTAGAAAACAAGTGGCAATCAGAGATTTAGTCTAAAAAGTGTATTTACAGGTAACAGTTCTCATCCAGCCTGATCTCACACAATACCATTTACATCCTCTTACATCTAAAGTTTTAGAAAAGGATCTTCACAATGTAAGTCTCAGGCACAGTAGGAGTTCTATAATAAAAGATCAAGTAGATCTGAATGTCCAAACTTATTAGAAAAAAAATGGAATCATTGGTTATATTTTCAAATTGCATTCAACATGAAATTAAAAGTTTTGAAATTTTTTCACCTTCATAATTCTAAGTTAATAGAATTAAACCAGAATACTCCATTCTTTCAAAGCCTCTAGCCAGGCAAAATTTTACTCTATTACTTCTTGCTTTCAATGGATACAAAGGAGAGTCCTGGTAGGCACATTTTGTATACCTGCAAAGATGCAGAACAGTTTCATCTGTTCGATATTAAAACACAAGCCCTGTAAACCTTAGATGGTGAGTGTAATACTTCAGCACTAGCACCAAAGCCTCAAATGTGAAAAGATACCAAGAACACCACTAGCAAACAAAAGTAAACTCTCAACCAGGAGCAGTAGTTCACACATGTAATCCCAGCACTTTGGCAAGCCAAGGTGGGAGGATTACTTGAACTCAGGAGTTCAAGACCAGCCTGGGCAGCATAGCGAATTCATATCTCTACAGAAAATTTTAAAAATTAGCAGAGCGTGGTGGCACACACCTGTAGTCCTAGCTACTTGGGAGGCTGAGGCGGGAAAATCCCTTGAGCCCAAGAGTTTGAGGCTGCAGTAGCTATGATCATGCCACTGCACTCCAGTCTGGGTGACAGAACGAGACCTAGATAATTACATTCTGTCCTGCTCCTGTTTACACTAAAATCACTAAGTTAAAATGCTTTCATTCAGCAGGATAAAAATTAAGTAAAATGTGACTTTGGAGTTTGGCTAGCAAAAAGCAAAGAAAAAATACAGCAAAATGACAAATTACTTACTGGGAAAAAGTTTTTGTAACTTCAATGACAGATAAAAGGTTTGTATCCTTAGCTTATAAAGAAATCTTTAAAGTTACTCAGAAAAAGACAAATGATAAAAAAAGATAAAATATTTTATAATTTTATAAAATTACTCAGAAAAAAACAAATGATTTCCAACAGAAAGTGGGCAATGGAGAAACCGGCACTTCCTACAAAAATAAAAATGGCCAGTAAGCACGTAAAAAAGATCCAAAAGCACTAGAAACCAAAGAAATGTAATGAAAACAATATTGTCTGCTTAAAGACCAGCAAAGATGACAGATGGAAGGAGGAAACTGGAGCTCTGTCACTGTTGGTGGGAGTATAAACTGAACCAATTTTCCTGCAGGATAATTTGAAAATTTCTATTAAAATCCCTAAAACTGTTTTATATTATTTTCCTCCAGAAATTCTACTTCTATGAAATCAGTCCAAAAATGCTTGCTCGAGTCCATTAAAATGTATATATAAAGTTCATTTTAAAGCACTTATGAATTTCAGTTGGCATAAAGTTGAAACAATGACCTTTAGTTTTAAGTTGGTAACAAAAATAAATTCTCTATATATCACTTACTCCTTTCAGAAAAACAACCCAATACATACCTCTGTAGAAAATGTTTCTTCTGGATTTACCCAAATAACATAATAAATTCTCATTATTTTATTGCTTTTTAAAATTTTTTATTTATTCATTTTTTTGAGACAGAGTCTCGCTCTGTTGCCCAGGAATGCAGTGGCGCAATCTCGGCTCAATGAAACCTCTGCCTCCCGGGTTCAAGCGATTCTCCTACCTCAGCCTGCTGAGTAGATGGGATTACAGGTACGTGCCACCATGCCCAGCTAATTTTTTCTACTTTTAGTAGAGACGGGGTTTCACTGTGTTAGCGAGGATGGTCTTGATCTCCTGACCTCATGATCCACCCACCTCAGCCTCCCAAAGTGTTGGGATTACAGGCGTGAGCCACAGCGCCTGGCCTATTGTTATTTTTTTAAAAAGACTAAAACATGTTATATTACAGACACCACTGACTCAGTATGTCAAAAGGCTTAAGACTGAATTAGATCATCTGCTGAACTTTAAACTTAGTACTTACCTCTATTTGTAGATGAAGTTTGAAGCAACTGTTTGGCTTTGAGGGAAGTATGAGGCAAATTTTTCAGCCTTTGTGAAACTGTTGAAAAATAAGGAATTATAATATTTGCCTGGAAGTACAAGATAAAGGCTATGGCTTCTGACACAAACTTGAAAATTTATCAAAGAGTAGAAACCATAAGGTGCAAATATGTTAGAATCCTAGAAGCAAGAGACCCCGTTCTCCACAAAAAGAAAAAAAAAAGCCAAAAAGAAACAAAAAAGTGATGCTTAGTGCATTAAGTTGGAAAGAAAAGGGGATGGAACATAAACTTTTAAAAATAGTTTCTTACAGATGAGAAAATCTCCAATGTGTCAACTGGTCAAAATAGCAAAGAGAAAACAAACCACCAGCAAACATGCTACAGATGCAAAGAATACAAAGATAAAAGCGATAAACACAGCACACAGTATAGAATAAAGTAAGTGCAGCACTTGTCCAATGCAAAAAAGCAGATTTTGGCAAAACAGTTATTGTTAGATGAATTACCCTAATGTGAAACCATAATCTCCAGACTACTTGAAAAGGAGAAGAAAACTCAGAACCAAGCAGGTCCTCAGAAAGTCACAATCTAGTAGCTTCATTATGTTCAGTATCATGCAGCGTACAACTAATTTTTTATCTAGGCTGTGCACATATGTATGTAGGTGGAGGGTTGTATGCAATATTGGTGTGGGTTGAGGGGTCTGGAGGAGTCAGACCATCTGCCTTTTAAAGTTTTCAATGAGGAAAGCTAAGCTTTCTTCCAAACTCCCAATCTATTAACTGCACTGAAACTCAAAATTAGCAGGTAAGCAGCAGCCCAGGGCTATCCAGAGATAAAGCGGTTCCAATTTCTCCAATATACAGTTACTATGGCTCTGATGGACTGATGAGTCTCACACCTACCAGTGCAGTCATCTATTTAAGTGGCTCTAAAATATTTTAGTTACTCTATTGATTTGAAAGTCAGACTTCCTATACCCCTAGGATTTATGTGCAAAAAAGAGCTCTCATCACTATAAATCTAGCCAGACTGCATAAACATTATTGGGGTGATAAAGGGATACTTGACATATTATCAGAAAGAATTAAGATTTCTCAGCCAGGTGTGGCGGCTTACGACTATAATACCAGCACTTACAGGCCTTTGGGAGGCCAAGGCAGGAGGATTTGCTTGAGCCCAGGAGTTTGAGACTATCCTGGGCAACACAGGGAGACTCTGTCTCCACAAAAAAATAAAAATAAACAAATAAGCCAGCTGTGGTGGTGTGCCTGTGGTCCCAGCTATTCAGGAGGCTGGGGTGGGAAGAGTGCTTGAGCCCAGGAGGCTGTAGTGAGCCATGATTGCATCACTGCACTCCATCCAGCAAGGTCGATGGAACAAGGCTCTGTCTTAAAAAAAAAAAAAATTCTGTCCCATGTATTGCTTAATTCTATAAAAACTTGAAAACTATTCTTTTCTCACAGATAATAAACTTTTTAAAAAGTAACAAATGTATTTGATTACAAATTTTATAGCACTCCAAACATTACTGTAGCTAAATAACATTGGATACCAACTTAACTTAAATATTGCCAGGCAGGCAAGCAAAAAATTATCTATATCTAAAAACTCAATTTTTTAATGGGTTATCTTATTTCTACTGCAAAAAAATACAGGTTGTTATCAGAGTATTTTTGTTTGTTTGTTTCGAGACGGAATCTCACTTTGTCATCTAGGCTGGAGTGCAGTGGCGCAATCTCAGCTCACTGCAACCTCTACCTCCTGAGTTCAAGCGATTCTCCTGCCTCAGCCTCCTGAGTAGCTGGGACTACAGGCACACGCCACCACCACACCTGGCTAATTTTTGTATTTTTAGTAGAGACAGGTTTCACCATGTTGGCCAGGCTGGTCTCGAACTCCTGAACTCATGATCCGCCTGCCTTGGTCTCCCAAAGTGCTGGGATTATAGGCGTGAGCCACCACATCTGGCCTTAGAGTATTTTTCATCTACATATTTATTCATATATGTTTTCAACCATTTATATTTTTATTCATCCATTCACTCACTCGTTCCTGTTTTTTTGTTTTTTCATTCACTCAAATAGTTTAGTATCTGCTTTACTCCAGGTACTGTCTTAGGTATAATGTATTGAGTAGGCAACTAGGTGGATACAGTTCCTACTCTCATGAAACTAATATTCTAGGAAAGGGGAGGAAGACAATGAGGCAGTGAAATATAGGGCCTGCCAGATAGTGATAGTTGCTAAGGAGAAAATTAAGTAGAAAAGAGGGACAAGAAGTAGGAGATTTAAGTTGCAATTATAACTAGGGCGATCAGAAAATACTTCCCTAAGATGACATTTGCACAAAGATCTGAAGGCAGATAGGAAGTCAGTTATGCAGATATGTGGAGAAAGCATTCCAGATGGAAAGAACAGCAATTGTAAAGGTTACTGAGATAGGAGCATGCCTTGTAGGTTTGAAGAACAGAACCTAGGCCGGTTGTTGGAGTAGAATAAATGAGGGCAAAAGGTAACCAACTGAACATACAGTGGCAGTTCACAATATCTATTAACCATTAAAACAATTTTTAATAAAGATTCAATATCAAATAGTATCTATAATACATGCTTCTGGAAAGATCCTATTTGAATAAATAGCTACGGTGACTCCAATGGACCCTACCCTACCCTACCCTAATGGACACACCTATTATGTGTGTCATAATAACAACAGCATCTACAGACAAGCAAAAACTGTGCATTGGGAATCTGAAGAATAAGATTACACACAGAACCAGGTCATAAACTCTAAATGTGCCTGATACAGAAAGAATGAAATGAATGATTTTCCCAAAATGCCAGTCATATAATATTACTCAAATAACAAAAATCCAATGTTATTCTGAATTATCAATCTTAATTTGATGAGTTTTCTAAAGACAAAATTTTTTTTTTTTTTTTTTTTTTGAGGAAGAGTCTCGCTCTGTTGCCCAGGCTGGAGTGCAGTGGCGCAATCTCGGCTCACTGCAACCTCTGCCTCCCGGATTCAAGCAATTCTCCTGCCTGGCTAATTTTTGTATTTTTAGTAGAGACAGGGTCTCACCATGTTGGCCAGGCTGGTCTCAAATTCATGACCTAGTGATCCACCCACCTCGGCCTCCCAAAGTGCTGGGATTATAGGCATGAGCCACCGCACCTGGCCCTGATCATTTATATTAACTATACAGTTTTTTAAAATCAATATTTCCATAAAGAGGATCATGACTTCCAAGTGTTTTATTTCCCAAAAAATTTTGAGCCATTGGACTAGACAGTCATTTATTTCTTATAACATTTATTAAATAATTTGCCAAGCCTTTATGTTTTAAGTCCCATAAAGGAAACGCAAGCCCCAATTAGGCCTTATGCTTCTAGAAATACCTGCTAATAAAGTGCCTCCCACATCACTGGTGGTTAACAGATGGCAGTAGAGAGAATGACAGACAACAGGAAGTGTGTTGATACCTTTGTTTCCTTCAGGGGTTGGCTCCTTCTTTTCTTCCTGTACTATGGACTCCTCTAGGTCCTTAGGGGTTGGGTCTAAAAATTCCCACTTTTCATTGGCATAAAACACAGACCTCCGACTATCATTATGTCCATTCCCAGGATGGAAAGAAGACATCAAATTTCTATTGGGAAAAATGATATGTGTTATTAACAAAAACAAAAGTAAAACAAAACGTAATCTTATGTATATAGGATTGGCAAAAATTAAAATATCTGATAATATCAAATGTTGGTGAGAATATGGAGAAATTGGCATTCTTATACACTGCTGGTGGGAGTATAAATTGATAATATTACCATGGAGAGTAACTCAGCAAGGTACTGCTAAGTTGGAGAGGCGCCTGCCCCTAACACCCAGTATTTCTTAAAATAAATCCTTACATACGTGCACAAGGAGACACAAACAAGAACATTCACTGTAACACTGTTCATATTACAAAAAAAAAAAAAGGTACAACAAGCTAAACATTCATCAACAGGAGAATAAACTGTGGCATATTCATATAGTCAAGTACTATACAGCACTTAAAATGAACTCATTCATTCAACAAATGTTGATTGAGCCTACCACATGCCAGACACTATCTAGATGCTTGGAATATCCTAGTGAACAAAACATAGCAAGATTATTGTTCTTGTGGAATGCACATTTCAGCTAAAGCTATCTGTATCATAGGGATAAATATTTTTTAAATGCTGAATGAAAAGTGAAAGAAAATGGAAGAATTATAGGTACAGCATGATACTGTTTTATGTCTTCAGATAATACTGTTAATAGAGACTATTTATAGATACATACATATGTAGTAAAACTATTTTTTAAAATCCACACATGAATGACAATAATCAAATACAGAATATTGGCTACCTCTGTAAAGGGAAAGAAGAATAGGATTAATAAGAGAGGATTTGGCTGGGCACGGTGGCTCACGCCTGTAATCCCAGCACTGTGGGAGGCTGAGGTGGGAAGATCACTTGAGGTCAGGAGTTTGAGACCAGCCTGGCCAACATGGTGAAACCCTATCTCTACTAAAAATACAAAAATTAGCCATGTGTGGGGGCGCATGCCTGTAATCCAAGCTACTAGGGAGGCTTAGATGGGAGAATTGCTTGAACCCGGGAGATGGAGACTGCAGTGAGCCGAGATTGCACCAATGCACTCCAGCCTGGGCAACAGGATGAGACTCTGTCTGGAAAAAAAAAAAAAAAAAAAAAGAAGAGAGGATTTTAATTGTATCTGTAATGTTTTGTTTTTAAAAATGCAGTGGAAAAATGACAAAACTATAAAAATGAGTCATGGCTATCTGAGTAATCAATATACTTGCCCGTGTGCTAAAAATATTTCATTAAAAGTTTTAAAAACTAGGTTGGGATTTCTGTTTCCGGTGAAGACGGAATAAAAGGAACTAGATTTACCTTCCGCCGTGAAAACTAAAGAACTGAAAAAAGTATAGAAACTGTGGTTTTCGGTCATTGGCCATCAGGCAGCAAAGGATAGTGATCCTGAGAGAGAGAAAGCCAATGAGGTAAGACCACCTTACTGTCCGGGGACAGTTTCCAGGCCAGGGTGCAGGCAAGGGGCACCCAGGAGGAGCCCAGCATCTCTCTGAGCTGAGAAGATAGAGTGGGGAGTCTCAAGGCAGCTGCAGCTGACAGAGCAGAGTAATAAAGAGAAGGGGGCTGCACAGAGGGAGTGTTGCAGAGATCTTAGACGGTCCCCCTAATCTCCAACTGAGTACTGATCAGGGTTTGCATGTAAGAAAGCTATCTGAGAACAGAGAAAGAACCCCCTGCGAGAAGCAAAGGAAACAATCCCAGAGCCTCACACAGGACCAGAAATAGTGCCTAGTCTCACCAGACAGAGTGGAAAACCTCATAATTCACAGGGCATCCGAAAGAGTACTCAGAAAGGCTACCAACAATATCCCTAAAGCCTACTCTCATCTTACCTAGCAAAGCTTAAAAGCAAACTTCAAAAGGATCAAACTGTTTCTGAGTAATTTAATACATCCAAGAACAAAGCTCAAGAATATTTATAGCAACACCAAAAAATCCAGCACACAAAAAGGTAAAATTCACAATAGCTGATATCCAATTTTAAAAATGACCAGGCATGCAAGAAGTGGGAAGTATAACTCATAATGAGGAAAACAATCAATCAACAGAAACAGGCCAGAAACAACAAATGATAACATTAGCAGACAGGGACTCTAAAAGTTCTAACTGTATTCTTCATGTTCTCAGAGCTAGAAAAAAAAAATGAACATCTTAGAGACATGGAAGATATTTTTTTAAAAACAGACTTAAATCAAATTTCCAAAGGTAAAACTACAATGCCTATGATGAAAAATATGCTAAATAGGAATAAGAGCAGACTAGACATTGTAGAAGGAAAGACCAGTGAATTTGATGACCCTGCAATAGAAATGACCTAAAATGAAACAGAAAAAAAGACAAAAGAAACAAAGGAAGGAAGGATGGATGGACAAATGAGCCAGTCACTGAAGGAGAGGAGAAAGGGAGGAGATGGAATAAAAGTATATGAAGAAATAATGACCAAAAAATTTTCCAAATTCGATGAAAACTATAAACTCACAGATCAAAGAAGCTCAACAAACTTCAAGCACAGGAATCATGAAGAAAACTGTATCAAGGCATATGATAACCAAATTGCTTAATATAAATAATATTTAAAGTTGTAAGTATAACCTTAATTTGCAAAAGAAATAAAGGAATAGTCAAATTTTAAAAGTTAAACTGTCAAAAGATGAAGAGACATCTTAAATTAATTCATTTGAGCAGTCAGTAAGTGGAGTGGTGAGGAAGAGACATGCTCACATGAACCACCTACTTATATGCACACACACACATATGCTTATATCCTCTTACTTCATAGAGCTGTACTTATTGAATACTACTCAGCAATAAAAGGGATGAAATAAGAAAACACCAAACAATATAAATAAGTCTCCAAAAGGTTCAGTGAAAGAAGACACACAGGCCGGGTGCGGTGGCTCACGCCTGTAATCCCAGCACTTTGGGAAGCCAAGGCAGGTGGATCACGAGGTCAGGAGATCGAGACCATCCTGGCTAACACGGTGAAATCCCGTCTCTACTAAAAAATACAAAAAAATTAGCCGGGCTTGGTGGTGGGTGCCTGTAATCCCAGCTACTGGGGAAGCTGAGGCAGGAGAATGGTGTGAACCCGGGAGGCAGAGCTTGCAGTGAGCCGAGATTGCACCACTGCACTCCAGCCTGGGTGACAGAGCGAGACTCCATCTCAAAAAATAAAAAAAAATTAAAAAAAAAAGAAGACACACAGGAGACTACATTGAGTAGGATTCCATTTATATAAAATTTTTGTAAGTCAAAGCTATAATGACAGAAAGCAGATCAGAGGTTGCCCAGGGCCAGGGATTAAGGGAAGGGATCAACTGCAAAAGAGCATGAAGGCATTTTTAAAGGTGATGGAAATGTTCTATTTATCTTGATTGTGGAGGTGTTTACATCAATGTGTATAATTTCTAAAATTCATCAGCCTATTCACCTAAAATAAGTGAACTTATTGGAGGTAAATTATACCTCAATGAAGTTACTAAAATAAACATGCAAATAAACACAGAAGAGGAAGAAATGTATAATGTGGTGTTTTCTGAGGTAGATTAAACATAAGGAGGGAAAAGGTGGTTTCATCTCTAGTTTGAATCAGGCAGATGATATTCTCATGTAAAATAGTCATTTCTCAATGTGTGTGGTTTTTTGTTTTTGTTTTTGTTTTTTTGAGATGGAGTTTCAGTCTTGTTGCCCAGGCTGGAGTGCAGTGGTGTGATCTTGGCTCACTGCAACCTCCACCTCCTGGGTTCAAGTGATTCTCCTGCCTCAGCCTCCCCAGTAGCTGGGATTACAGGCGCCTGCCACCACCCCCAGCCAATTTTTGTATTTCTAGTAGAGACAGGGTTTCGCCATGTTGGCCAGGCTGGTCTCAAACTCCTGACGTCGTGATCTGCCTGCCTTGGCCCCCCAAAGTGCTGGGATTACAGGCGTGAGCCACCACACCCCACCCCTCAATGTGTTTTTCAAAGCATATCGTGTTTCCTTTTTACTTGTACTTTAAACATTCAGAAGAATGAAGAGAAATTATATAACACACTTATGTTCTCATCACACTGTTACAACATGTGAATGTATAACCTTTTGCTAACTGCTTTAACAAAGAGTCACTGTTTAGAACCTATATTCACTTTCTCATGGCTTATTTACCTAGGACCAAGAGGGAGCTGGTCAACAACATAAAGCATCTTGCACATGCTATTTATTTCCTAAGTCTCTTCCAGAGCCTGGCATTGTGCCACACATCTTCATAAAACACTGCATAAAAGGATTCTAGTCAATTCCCATGTGACCTAATGAGCAAGATACTGTATAAAGTCTGATTTTATAAAAATTATAAAAAATTATAAAAGTGTAGAGAAAGCTATTTCAAAATAGCTGCTCAGGAAGAAAACTCTCACAAATGCTTACTTTACTTTTGCTCGTTTTTTTGACACGCCGCTGGACTCAGTGTACCACGACGTTTCAGTGGCCCTGCCTATGGCAAGGATCTCACAACAGCCTTCTCTTAGGTGGTATGTGACTACTAACACCATCAATTTTAGGAATTCAATTCTCCTTGCCACTTGCCCTAGCCATCAAACTGTGCTCCTTGGCTCTGCTTCCTAAAGGGGGAATGCAGGAAAGAGGAGTAAGAACAGTGACACCCCACATGGCCTGGGGAGAAAGAACAGCAATTTCAGTGACTTAGAACTGCCACACACCCTCCTTCCTCCCACAGTGGTTCTGTGTTTCCAGCCTGTCACAAGCCGACTCACACAAAGCTGTGCTCTAACCTGCTGGGGGTGCGGTGCCACTTGCCAAGCCCTGGGTAACAGAGAAATGGAATCAGGCTCAAAGTGAAAGCCTCCAGAAACTGAAACACTATATAGCCAATTCCTGTTTTAGCTCTTTTGTGGCGAAACCCAATTCTGGGACTGGGCAACAAGGGGGTCATTAGGGTGCAGACTTTTCAGACACACTCACCCCATCTGCTCTGGCCCACAGAGGCCTCGGTGGTAACCATGTGTCCTGCCTGTGCATTCTACTGCGGAGCTCACAGCTGGTTTAAATGAGGCTATTTTTTAAGCTGGTGTTAGAGTCTGTTCTATGGCAGTATCTGCTGTTTAAAGATCCCAATCTCATTTGACAGATCTTTGAGAGGGCCTTCTGTGTTCTCCCAGGCATTGTGCTAGGTGCCCACCTATAAACACTCAGCTGCTCTGAAATAGAAAGTTCCAGCAAGCAGCAAAACAGCACCTTAGTAGGGGCTGTGTTCAGCCTGAGCTTTTTTTAAACAAATATCAGCGATCGCTGTCATCCTTAAGAAAACTGCTTTCTAAGCTTACATATTTCAGACGGAAGTCTGAACAGTTTAAAAATGTCTTAACTAAAACAGTAATAATTTTTTTGATATGCGTTTTTTGACATGCGTTTGAATTCTGATAACCAGCCAGAATTTACGAGTTGACAGAATTGTTGGGAAATGTTCCATCAAATCTCTTCCGAGTTAACTCCTCCACAAACTGCCTGCACAGCCACATTTTAGGCAACACCACAACCTCTTCAGCAGTGGGATGACATGGCAGAGGCAGAGGGTTTGCACTTGCCAGGACTTCGTGTACGGGAGGGAGGTAGGCTACCACTGCTGCCAGCTCCCTCCCTCCCTCCAGACTACAAGCCCTGTTGAGGGAAACAAAGGTTGGGGGTCCAGGGAGGAGGTTGTTGGGGGAGTTTCCTCTGTAGCCATCCCAATAAAGTTGACTCAGTATTTCCTCCTCCACAAATTAATTCCTCAAATATATTCTCACAAGGACAGAGATATATATATATATATATACATATATACACACACAAGGATACCACAAAAATGCTATTTGAAATGACAAAAAAAAGTAGAAACAAGCAGATGTCTGTGGCTAGGAAACTGGTTAAATTAGGGCGCATTCATATAACTGAACTCTGTTAGAACAAGAGCTCTAATAAAGACTAACAAGTTAAGACATTCCAGATAAGTGCCTATATAATGCCCCAGTTCAAAGGGGCATGGCAAGTGGCCCTACACTCCCCGCCATTGCTAACCCCTCCTGACTCACCTGCAGGTAAGAGCACAGCTTTGGCATAAGTGGGCCTCATGACATGGTAAATATAGAGAAACTGTGTTTGAAGGAAGAGTGAGTGGAATTCTAAGTCACTGAAATAGCTATACACTAAAACAGTGGATACTGCATGATCCCTCTGTGTAGATCACATATACACCGAGCAAATTTCAGGGTGCATACATAACCAATTTCAGTTCTAGTGGTGACTTCTGGGAAGTGGACTTAGAAGGACTTTCACTTTTAACTGTGCACCCCTCAGCAATGGCTGATTTTTCTTTTTATACACATGCATGACTTTTACAATGAAGTACAAACACACAACTAAGAAGGCAGGCCAAATGGGGAATCTATCAGGTGGCAGGCCTGCAAGCCAGAGGTCATTTGCTATGGTTTGAACGTCCCCTCCAAAACTCATGTTGAAATGTAATTGTCACTGTGATAGTATTAAGAGGTGGAACCATTAAGAGGTGATTAGGCCATGAAGGCTCAGTCCTCACGAATGGATTAACGCTGTTATCTCAGGAGTGGGCCTAGATTCAACTGCAGAAGAGGAGATGGCAATGTGGCCAGGGAAGCAGAGATTACAGCAAGCCAGCCATAGACCAAGCAATGCCA